>NC_000001.11:206063374-206214890 GCF_000001405.40 Homo sapiens | reverse complement strand
TTTCTGGTCAGAGCAATTAAGGAAGGAATCCCAGAAACGTTGGGCTTTACCAGAAAGGTGAGATTTCTTTCTTTCTTTTCTTTTTTTTTTTTTTTTTTGAGATGGAGTTTCACTCTTGTTGCCCAGGCTGGAGTGCAAGGGCACGATCTCGGCTCACAGCAACCTCCAACTCCTGGGTTCCAGCCATTCTCCTGCCTCAGCCTCCCAAGTAGCTGGGATTACGGACAAGTGCCACCACCCTCAGCTAATTCTACATTGTAAGTAGAGACAGCGTTTCACCATGTTGGTCAGGCTGGTCTCGAACTCCCAACCTCAGGTGATCCACTGCCCCCAGCAGAAGGATGAGATTTCAATAGGTGAAGATACGGGACTGCGCAGCGAAAAAGGGGCATTTCATGAGCAACACGTAGAACTTAGACTCTGGCGACAACCAAGGTTCCTATTCCATTATTCACCAGCTGCAGACCCTGGAGAAATAACTGAATGTCCTACACCTCACTTTTTTCATCAGTAAAATGGGATACTAGTAACATCTTTTTCCTAAAGTTGGAGTAAGGATTATGGAATAATCTATATAAAGTATTTAGCATAATGCTTAGTAAGTGGTAAACATCCAACAGACAGCAAATGTTAGCTAGTAGTCTATGTGTTTAAAGAATGGTAAGCAGTCAAGTTAGGCTTCCAGTCCTCTTAAAGCAAAATAAGAAATGTGGTCGAAACAATAGGTTGCAGTCAGATTGAGAATGAAGTTCATGTCTACCTTAGAAAGTTGGTCTGTATTTAGCAGGCAATAGGGAGTCAATCATTAGAAGAAAGAAGCCATATTAAGAACATTCTGAGTAGATCTCCAGTGGGAGCCTCTAGCCCCTCTCCTTGACATCTGGCTTATTTGTGACCCCTTCTAAAAAGGCATGAGGCCCTAGGACTAGTTCAGGCCAGATCTATTTTTTCGTTTGCTTGTTTTTTGTTTTTGAGATGGAGGCTTGCTCTGTCACCCAGGCTAGAGTGCAGTGGCATGATCTCGGCTCACTGCAACCTCTGCCTCCTGGATTCAAGCGATTCTCCTCCCTCAGCCTCCTGAGTAGCTGGGATTACAGGCACCCACCACCACGCCCAGCTAATTTTTGTATTTTTGTAGAGATGAGGTTTTACCATGTTGGCCAGGCTGGTCTCGAACTCCTGACCTCAGGTGATCCGTCTGCCTCGGCCTCTCAAAGTGCTGGGATTACAGATGTAAGCCACCACACCCAGCCAAGCCAACTCTATATGGAAACAGACACTGTCATTTGTCCACTCCTAACATGGCCATGATTTTTTTTCTTTTCTTTCTCACTCCATCCTGTACCTTCCCTCCTAAAAGCAGAGTAACGGCTGAGACACAATTATTAGCCTGACTTTCCTTGGAGATTGTCTTGGTTAAACAAATTTTCCAGAAACTAATCTGGGTAGCTTAGATCATTATTTATTTGTTACTTTTTAAAATTTGTTAATACCAGGCTTTCATTTAGTTATCTTGAAGTTAATGCCTCTTCTATAACATAATTATTAGCTCTATCACCTAGGCTAGACTGCAATGGTGCAATCAATCATGGCTCCCTGCAATCTCGAACTCCTGGGCTCAAGCAATTCTCCTGCTTCATCATCCTAAGAGAGCCTAGGACTACAGGTATGTGCCATCACACCCAGATAATTTTTTTTTGAAATGGAGTCTCGCTCTTGTTGCCCAGGCTGCAGTGCAATGGCGAGATCTCAGCTCATTGCAACCTCTGCCTCCCAGGTTCAAGTGATTCTCGTGCCTCAGCCTCCCGTATAGCTGGGATTACAGGTGCCTGCCACCACACCCGGCTAATTTTTTTATTTTTAGTAGAGACAGAGTTTCACCATATTGGCCAGGCTGGTCTTGAACTCCTGACCTCAGGTGATCTGCCCACCTCCCAAAATCCTGGGATTACAGGCGTAAGCCACCGTGCCCAGCCAGTTTTTTGTTTTTTGTTTTTTTTTCTTGCAAAGATGGGGTCCCACTATGTTTCCCAGTTTGGTCTTGAACTCCTGGGCTCAAGCAATCCTCCCACCTTGGCCTCCCAAAGTGCTGGAATTACAGATATGAGCCACTGTGCCTGGCCAATAGTACTGGTTTATTAATACATTATAATGAAGAAACTTTGGGGGTAATGATTACATTCACTATCTTGATTGTGCTGGTTTCATGGGTATTATATATGTCAAAGCCTATCAAATTGTATACCTTAAATATGTGCAATTTATTAAATGTCAATTAAATCTCAATAAAGCTATTAAAAATATGGTAAAAGTTTAGTAATTCATGTAATTATTAAAAGGTGTACAACTTTATAATTAATAATATACTAATATACAAGCTAATGCACATATTAAAACCTTAAATTTAAAAAATTTATCAGGACAAGTGATTATATAGAAATGTATATACAGGCTTGTAAAACTTTGGTATAGTGTACCTTTTAAAAAAAAAATAACCAGCCTGGGCAATGTAGGGAGACTTCATCTCTACAAAAAATTTTAAAACTAGCTGGGTGTGGTGGCATGTGCCTATAGCCCCAGCTACTTCGGAGGCTGAGGTGGGAGGATCACTTGAGCCCAGGAGGTCAAGGCTGCAGTGAGCCGTGATCAAGCCACTGCAATCCAGCCTGGGTGACAGAGTGAGACCCCATCTGAAAAAAAAAAGAAAAAAGAAAAAAGAACACCCCTATGTTACACCTATGTTCACAGCAGCATTATTCAAAATAGGCAAAAGGTGGAAACAACCCAAGTGTTCATCAATGAACGAATGGGTAAACAAAATGGGGTACATACATACAATTAAATATTATTCAACCTTAAAAAAGAAAGAAATTTGGACATATGCTACAACATGGATGAACTTTGAGGACATTATAGGAAGTGAAATAAGCCAGTAACAAAAAATATATACAATATGATTCCACTTACCTGCAGTATCTGGAGTTATCAAATAGAGACAAAGTACAATGGTGCTTGCCAGAGACAGGGGCAGGAGGGAATAGGGAGCTGTTGTTTAATGGGTATAAAGTTTCAGTTTTGCAAGATGAAAAGAGTCATTTAGATGGATGGTAGTGATGGCTGCACAACAATGTGAATGTACTTAATGCTACTGAACTGTACTCTAGAATGGTTAAGATGGTCAACCTCCTGTGTATTCTACCACAATTACAGAGAGTAAGGGAGATATGAGAGTTCCTACACATTATTGTAAAATCAGTAAGGGTGTTAATTTTGTAATTTTTTAAAATGCTTTTAAGTGCTGTTATTACTTATGTTTAAACCTAACAACTTCCAAGGCAACTTTCCCAGATTCCCCAAAAAGTCAATTCTGGAGCTGACACCAGGTTAAAACTGCTAATTTTATTACTACCAGAAATCTACATATCAACTGCTTTTTCCCTGCAATATGACATATTTTCCTAATGTAGCTGTCAGAGGTCAAGGGTATAAGGTAAGCACAATTCCCATGAAGCATTCTCACTTCTGGAAGGACAACTCTACAGGTGCCACTGGGTAGCCCAGTTTATCTGGAGTGAATAATGGGAGTCAGGGTCTGGGTACCTGCTGATTTTAATAGTGAGGGCGCCTACATACTGCAGCCAGGTCCATCTCTGGACACCTCATAGCAGAGAAATCATCAGAGCCTGTCTAAGTTTTCAACCTGCATGATACATAACGGATGTGGCCACAATTACCAGATAGGCTTCTTCAAAGGAAATTTCTGTTCTCATTCCCCAAGAACACCTGAAATTGAAAAAGCTAAGGACCCCTCATGAACACTGTTTCCAACTACTGCTTCTTTGCACAGTACACTGCATCCCCTGGCTCCTTGCCCACCACCTTCCTCTAGGGTCTTTCAATTGCAAGATGCAGAGTATGGTACTTGAAAGTTTCCAAGAGTTTCATTTTCTTCCAGTTCACCTTACTGCTGCAGAGTAGCTTTTTTTGTTGTTGTTTTTTCCCCTGAGCAAGGGACAGGAGCCCTCAATCATCTTGCAGGAAAATGATAGCATCTGCTTGAGGATTCCAACTAAATGTTTTACTGCAGCTTTTCAAACTGACTATATTTAACTGATTATATTTAAAACTGATTAACTGATTATATTTAAAGCTCCCTTGGGGAATGGGAGCTGTGAGGAAAGAAGCTTTGGAGAAGACCTTTGTTGGCATGAATGAAAAACTGCTCAGACCTCCCAAGGGAAAGAGCTTGTTTATATACCAGCCATCAACATTCCCAAGTATATATACACACACAATACGACTCCAGTTTTAAATTTCATCTCCTGCTCTTGAAGGGTCCTGAAAGGGTTAAACTGTTCCAAGCAAAGGCCTGCACTTTTTCTATCAAAATGCTCCAGATGGAAATTACAAAATTTCGCTTCCAGCTCTGTGGTGCACACACACTGTTCTCCTAAGACATTAAAAAAAAAAAAAAAAAAAAAAAAAAAGACAAGACCCCTAATGTTCTCGAGAAAGAAAATGTGACTGCTCAGCATACAGTGCCACCCTGTTTCAGACTATTTCTTCTGGAATATTTGCATGAACTGTCAATCTCAAGCTTTCTGGGAGACTGTAAAAACTCAAGGTATAGAGAGGGTAAAGGAAAGGGGCCTTAAATAAGGAAAGAACAATAGCTGGGACTGTATACAGTCATGTGTATTCACCCAAATACCACCCAGATTCACAACCCTGGTAACCATGCCCTGCAACTTACCACCTTCGCTGCTCCAATCCCAGCAACAAGCTAACAGGCTAGAGGCCAAAGGCTTCAGTTTATGACCATGAATCTGACCAGGGTTGTAAAGAATTTCCAGAGATTAATGTACATCAGCCCTCCCCATACCTGCAGGTTCCATATCTGCAGATTCAACCAAATGGGAATGGAAAATATTCAAGAAAAAAAAAAAAACAATAAAAATACCAATACAACAATTTAAAATAATACAAATTTTAAAAGCAGTATAACTATTTACATAGCATTTACACTGTATTAGGTATTATAAGTAATCTAGAGATGATTTAAAGTATACAGAAGGACGTGTGTACATAGGTTATACGCAAATACCACACCATTAGTTATCAGGGACTTGAGCATCTGCAGATTTTGGTATCCTGGGGGAAGTGGGGGTAGTCCTTGAACCAATCCCCTGAGGATACTGACGGACAACTACATATGAAAGCATAATGTAAATTGGAAAGAGCTATGTAAAAAGACTAAGAATATTATTGCTTTCAAGTCAGACATTGAGAGGCATGAACTTTCCAAGGAATCTGGGCACCCACAAACCAGAAACAATGATGGTTTTTAAGAAGACACTACAAGGCAGGCTGACTAAGGAGGCACACCCCTCATAAAACCACTCTGGGGTAGGGTTGGGGCTGAAGCCTCAGGAGTTCCTCAGGGCACATGCAAGCAGGTGGTTTATAGGGAGGCAAAAATCAAGGGATAGGGAGGGTCCCAGAAAGTCCCATGAGATGAGGGTCCCATTTAGAGTCCATTTGACTCAAACAATTCTGATTGAAAAAACAGGACCTGGGACTCTGGTCAAAGACAGGCCGAACCACAGTGGCCAATAATTAGTTTACTTGTTCACTGACAGAAAAAGAAACTGATGTCCAGAGGGTTTAAGTGACTGACCCAAGATGTTTTGTTACAACTAAATGATCTTAAGCTAGAACTTAAGTTTCATTCCTTACTTATTTCCTATCATTTAATAGCTGGCACTTTGGGAGTGAATATGCAATGCAGCCTCAATAGTCAGCCCAATTCAGCAAAAGAAAGGCTCACAGAGAAGTAGACCGTACCATTATTGAGCACTTACAAGTGCAAGATACTGTTCTAAATAATTTATATATCTCATCAACAACTCACTACTATCTTAGGAAATGTATTTTATTTTACCTATTTTCCAAATAAGGAAACTGAGGCTCAGACAAGTCATGTAACTTGCCTGAAGTGAAAGGCTAGCTACTGTCAGAACCAAGATTTAAACCTGAATCACTTTGACTCTAAAAATTGCACTTAACAACCAAACCAAACTGCATAGCTGTTACAGCAATTTTCTTTTTATCTTGGCATCTGTAAGAGAAGTAAGTCTGGCAGCACCATGAGTCCCATATAACACACAAAAAGCTGACACTCATAATAATTCTGACCCAGGGCTTCTAGCTAGTCGGGGGCAGAGCCAAACCAGATCGCAGGCCCTTTGTCTCCAAATTCTGTGCTGTTCCATAGAGAGCCCAGCTTCCAGAATATAAGCTCCATGAGGGTAGAGACTTTTTCTTCTTCACAGCTGTATGGCCAATCACCAGAACACACAGCAAGCACTCAATAAATAGTTAATGAATAAAGGAATGAAGTCAAGCTGCCATGGTTTGGCTGTGTGACCTTGGAAGGGCTTCTCATCCTCTCTAAGCCTCAGTTTCCTTATATGGTGAATGGAAGGTGACAATAATACCCATTTCCTGGGTTGAGGTAAGGATTAAACCAGACCATTCATTTAAAGCACTTGGGATGGACTGGAACATAATGAGCAACCAAAATGTAATCTATTATCATTATCATTATTACTATTATTATTCATTGACAGATTTGGGCTCCTTAAGAATTTTTTATTTTTTTCCACCCTGGTCAGATGATGTTTCATAGTAAAGATACAGAATAGAGAATTGAGAGTTGGTAAATCTGCTTCTAGTTTCAGATCTGCCACCATCTAGCCGTGTGACCTTGGACAAGCCTCTTCAGTTCTCTGTATTCTCCTCAGCTGTAAAATGAAGGACTAAACTATTCAAATCAGTTCCATAAGCATTCATCAGGCACCTTCTCGGAGTAAGACATCATGCTCAGCCACCTATAAAATTCTATGATCCTGAATAGTATCAATGGGAAAATATCAGAGCAAAGCAAAATAGTCTGTTTGTGGCAAGGTTGAAGAGAGAACCCAAATAGCCGACTGCATTACATCATCTCAATGAGCAATGTTTGTAAATATCCAAAGTGTTTAATTTTGAGACACTCTTGAGAAATCCTTTGCCAATAAGAAATTGGCAGATATGGTTCTATTAACACCTATCAGCCTTGAACCTTCCAAAAATTAAACATTTAAAGTCACTTTGCACCTTAGTCAAATGGCGTGCTTCTGGAGAGAAATCTGGGAAGATCAAAGTTATTAACACTCCCGATGGCAACAGTTTAAGAATAGGATGTGTTAAAAAAAAAAAAAAAAAAAGACATATCTGGTTAAAACTGCAGGGGGGATTCCAAGAGCAAATGCAATGCATCTGGACAGGACATGGAGGCCAGTGGCCTATTGTTTACAAAAACAAGCCTGGATTATGAACAGTGACAAGAGGCCAAGACCTCAATAATAACTCACAACCACACCTCTCTCAATCCCAGTTCAACTGAAGCTATCAATCAGTCAACTCCCCCATCTCTGTAATAAACCTACCAATATTTGCAGCCAAGTGGATAGAAGGCCCCTTAGGGCACCTCCAGCACTGACCAAACTAATGACATAAAAAAGATCCTGTAGGTACAATGAGGACTTCAGACTACCTTCCAACCTTCCAAGAGATAAGGGAGCTGCCCATTTCAAACTCTACACCTACCCCCACCCCCCAGCAATCATTAGAGGGGAGCCATGGCCCTTCCCAAGTCCTCTCTGATAGGAAAAGGTCTCCTTGCACTGGTGCAGGGAAAGGAGGGGCCCCTCCCTCTGTACTCTGAAACAAAGGAAAACCCAGAGCTCCAACCATGTGGTGTAACATTCAAGGCCACCCACCTCTTCCACTCCCCAGCTAAGGTCTCAATGGGCTGGAGCCACATGGCTCTTTCCAGTGACTGACCAGGAAGGGACAGTGCCTTGCACAAACACATGCTGCAGCTCTTTAACAGGCAGGAACCCTTCCTATGGGAACTGCTGGTTTAAAAAACGCTATCTGAGTAAGGGCTCTTATTCATGAGTCAAGTCAGTCGACTAGATGAGAAGACAGGTCACTTGGTTTCTCCTAGTCCACATTTTGCTTTACCCTTCACATTTTTCAGGAGAGGGAAATGGGGCTTTAAAAGCATGTCTTCCGGAGCAGAGGGCCACAGCACAGAAGGGTTAAACAATTATGTCTTCCCATTTTCCAGAATCAGCACCAACCGGCTACCCTAACATCCTCCCAACTCTATTCAGATTTAGGTGAGGGCGGAGACCGGGCGTGGGTGGCCTTATTCTCTGATCTCTGATTGTATGCAGGCCGACCAGAGACCAGGCAGGTACAAGGTACACCCAAGGTGGCAATGGACTTTTGGTGCCAATGCCATTGCAAATCTCATGTTTTAATATAGTGCATCCGAAAAACCCCGCCTCTCCCAAGGCTCTCCAAATGGTACACCTTCCCAAGGTTGCCTTTCTGTCTGGACTCCTCTTCAATCTCTGAAACAAATGTCCAAACACCTGTCAGATTTCAGTTGTCTTTCAAGGAAACCTGACCCAGAGAACCGGAGGCAAACTGCCTTTCTCTAAGAGCCTCCTGCCCCTCCCCCCACCCTGTCCGGCTTGGGGGGGAAAGGGCTGCCAAAATCATGGTCAGCCCCACAAAGATACTCCTACAGCCCACTGCAAAAATTCCTTTCCAGTGTCAATGGCCCCCTGGCATTGCCCATCCTTTGGAGGTTCAGACCCATCTATGAAACCACCTCTGGGGTCAGCCTGCCCCCATCTGCTCCACCCAAAGAAATGAACAACCTGCAAATCACGGTGGAAATACACGCCTCACCAGTCCACAGAGCATTTGCAGTGTGCTATTTTTCAAAGCCCTTACCTTTGACCTGAGTATCGTACTCTGCTATGATCTCCTTATCCTTTTTGAATTTGGCTGGAGACGTCATGTTTTCCTTCTTTCTTCCAAATTCGAATTGTGAATTGATAGATCCACGGAAAAAATCCAACCACCTAAATCAATACCTCCAAGACCGCTTCTCTCGAGGGCAGAAGGGGCCCCCCACGGTGGTCTCCAGCGCTCCGTGGAGCGCGGGCTGCGGGCTGGGCAGACGGCTACGGCGGGCACATGCAGACGGTGGGCGCTGGGGCCGGGTGCGGCGGCGGCTGGTGCCTGTGCTAGAGCCGGAGCCGCAGCCTCAGCATTAGCCGGGAGAACTGCAGCGCCCGGAGGCTGGCCTGGGGTCTGACATCAACGACACAGGCGGGGAGTGGAAGTCCTTCCGCACAACATGGTGTGGGGCTGCGGGGGTGTGGACGCGCCCAGCTGTGTCCCCGGGAGGGAGTGGGTGCTTTTCGGGGTGCCGGGGGAGGGCTGGGCGTGCTTCGCGGTTTTTTGTCGTAGAGGCTCAAAGATGCTGCAAATCAAATCCCAAACGGGAGCCGCAACAGCGCAGACTGGATCGGAAGTCGTTTGCTCCGGTTCACTTGCCTGTAAATGCAGGAAAAGGGGGAGGGGGCGATCAGCCAGAGCGCAGATCCTAATCGCGGCGGGGGTGGGGTAGGGGACGTCGTTCCGAGCCCGCCCTGGGCCCATTCCTGTCCGCTTAACGTCTCCCCGCCCGCAGAGCCTGGCGCTACGAGGTGGGGAGGAAGGAAGCTCCCTCCGGATTTTAAGGCTGAAAGAAAACACTTTGGAGCAGCCGCCTGCGCGGGCTCCGGGCGGGGACTGCAGGAACGCGGGGCACCAGGCGGGGACTGCGGCACCTCGGCGGCCTCCTGAGCCCCGCCAGCGCTGGGCAGCGGCCAGCCCGAGGGAGCCCTCCCGACCTAGCCCCCGACGTGGCCCCAGACCCCCGGCCGGGGCACCTCCCTGTACATCAAAGGGGATCAAAGCCGGGGAGGGATAAGCCACCAGGGCACAACTTTTCTTCCTCTCCCGCCCCTCCTCCCAGTTGTTTTGTTTTTGGTTACTAGCTTCTCTTGGCAGCAAAATGTTGATGGGGGGGGGGGCAAATCTGCAGGAAAAAGCCTGCTCGGCACGGGACACATCCAGGAAAACAATGTGGTCAGCTGAAGCAGGAAACGGGTTAGAGGATAGGGTCGGAGCCGGGAAAACCGGGGGGCGGCGAGCGGAAGGCAGCCGTCGCCTCCCTCAAGCTAGGGACGATAGTGACTATAAATGCCACCCCCAATATTTTTTTGACACCCAAGCTCAGAGATCCCAGATATCCCACCCAATCCCAGGCTGGGGATGGGAGGAGGTCGGTGAGGTCGCAGTCCTGACTCCTCGCACCAGGCGGTGCCCGAGAAGATCCGGCCCCGGACGAGGCCCAGGGGGCTGGAGGGACGCAAGCGGGAGCGCGGAGCCCGGCGACTAGCTCCCTCGCGTGCCGCAGCGGCGACCCTTTCTACTTGGTCTTTCCTTTTCCTCCGAGCGCCGGGAGGAGGAAGCTCCCGCTAGCGTCTCCCACTTCCCGCGGCTGGAGGAAGGGGCCACGCTGAGGGAACAAGACAGGGAGCAGAGGCGGCGGGGTTCAGGCGAGCGGGAAGCGGGAAGCGAGAGGCGGGTGTGAGATGGGGTCCTGAGGCTGGAAGGGAGCCCGGGGACAATTGGAGTTGCACACGCTCGGAAGGCGGGAGGCGGCAAGGAGAAGGCTGCCTTAGAGGTGAGGGGAATTGGGGCATGATCATGGGCCGCGATGTTGCGTGAAGCGCAAGGATGTCAGGAACTGTGGGGGCCGAGATGTGGTCTAGGGATGGGAGTGGGCGAAGAGAAGTCCATCGGGGCGGGCCGGGGGGTGGGACTCGGGGAGAGCCCCGGAAGCTGCGCGGAACACCCATCCTCCTGGGTCCTAGGCTGGGACCCGGGCTGTCCGCCAGGGCTGGGAGACACTGGAGGAGGCCGGCCGATGATTACGCGCGATGCCAACGACGACTGCCCTACGGTGGACCGCGGCTGCCCGTGTGCGGAGGAAAGGGAGAGGCGGCTGGGTGCCGGCTGCGCTGCGGTCCGTGAGCCAGGACGGAGTCCCAGGCTGTACAGTGATGGGCGGAGAGACTCGCAGTCCTGAGAAGTATTATGGGCTGTACTGGGAGATTTGGAGAGGGTGGAGGGGGGGCGGTCTGAGGGATTCCGGGCGGCACCGCTAAGGCGATGCCGCGAGCAGCATCCGCGCCCTCTCCTTCCCGCCCCAGCCCCGGTTTGTTCAGTCAGGGCTCCAGCCCGGCGGCCGGGAGGAAGAAAAGGAAGAGGGAAGGAGCCTTTACCTGGCTCTGACGCGACGGGTCCCAGGCCCCCGGCTCCGCTTCCCACTCAGAGCTCTCCTCCCCTCTCTTCCCCGCCACCCGTTTCTACGCAGATCGGTGCCCCAGTCCCTGGAGGAGCCTCCGCCAACTCCGCAGGACCCCGCCGGGAAGTAGAGCCCACCCCTTTACCAATCACCGCCCGTTTTCTATCGACCGATGGGGCCCATAGCCAATAGGAAGAGCTGATCCCGAGAGGCCCGGAATGAGGGGGAGGAGCTGGCAAAACTTGGAGGTGTGACTAGCACTGCCGAGGCGTGGTCACAGATTAAGCTCCACCCCGGGTTGTTGAACCCCTAAGTAGAACTGATGGGCGGGATTAAGGTGGAACCGACGACCAAACACAAACTCTTGAGCTAAGGCACGGCCAATTGGGCCGGGGTAGAGAGGAGGGGTGTTGCGGGGAGTTTTAACCAATAAAGAGTAGAGACCGGTGGAGACTGTAGAACCTCTTCCAATAAGAAGCGGGAAGGGCGTGCCTTGCCACTTTCACTAGGGCGAAGGCAGGGTTTGCCGAAACCTCCCGAAGCCGGCCAATGAGATCGGAGGCGGAGCCAAGCTCAGCCAACCAGAAAGCCGAATTGATCTCAGCACCGTTACTGGGGCGGTGCCTACGGTCTTCAAGCCACTAAGCTCTCGTGAGGGGAGGCCCCGGAGCCTTCCAATGAGGGACTGGGGCTAACTCTAGTTCTTCCAATCGGTGCGCGGCGCTGGCAATTCAAACTGATACCGGGTTGGAGAGGCAGGAAAAGCGGAAGAGGGAGCGAAAACCAACGTGTTCGGTGACAGACCCCAGCGCCGACTGAGCCTCTAAAGCGACTTCAGCTCTGCCCCACCAACACCACCGCGCGCCCGGGAACAGCCGCTCCGGGAAGAAACCTGAGGGGACTGCGGGGGGCACGAGGGACAGCTGAGGGAAGGGAGGACGCGAGAGAAACAGCGCGAGCACGCTGAGGGCCGGGGGTTGCCAGGAGAGGGGCCCGCGGACCCGCAGAGCGGAGGAAGGTCCGGGAGAAAAGGGGCGGGACGGAGGAGAATCCGGGATCGCCTGGCAGAAAAAGAGAAGGGAGTTTCTGAATCCTGGGAAGAGGAGGCGTGGGTAGGGACGCTTAGCCCGAGATCCGACAGCAGGGAACCGGAGCGCTCCGGGGGAGGGGCTTAATGCTGGGGAAGGGATGTCTTAAAAGAGGAGAAGCTTTAAATTAGACGATCGGAGAAGGCTGAGGGAATTGCTATGAAGGGGCGGGAGCTGAAGTGTAGAGGACTCCTTTAGACAGCAGAAAGGGAAAGCCGTTGAGAAGTTCCCTTCAAACTCCACCTGCCTCCTCTCCAATTCAAACTCCACTCCCTTCTCCAAAAGTTAAAAGGAAAGCCAAGTTTGCCACGCTCCCCTGTTCCTACTCAATAAATACTTCTTCTACTCCGCCACCGGGAAAACAGAAAAAAAAACTAATTTCCTTCCCAATATTAGGACTTAGAAAAGCTCTAGGTCCCGCAATTTGAATTTTAGCCTAGGGGAATCAAAATAGTAGGAGCATTACTCTTGTTTCCTTTTTCAAAATCCCACACCTCATCCTTCCTGCGACGCCATGTCTACCAACATTTGTAGTTTCAAGGACAGGTGCGTGTCCATCCTGTGTTGCAAATTCTGTAAACAAGTGCTCAGCTCTAGGGGAATGAAGGCTGTTTTGCTGGCTGATACTGAAATAGACCTTTTCTCTACAGACATCCCTCCTACCAAGTAAGTCATGCTAGTGGCGGGCAACGGTAGCTTTTAACTAAATGGGAACACTTATGGCTTGGATCTGTGGGAGTCAACAAGGAGGTTATCATTTCGGTGTTTCAGCCACTCCCACCAGTTTGATGATCCCCTTGGAATATATCTAAGTGGGCAGACTGTCTGGACAAAGTCTGTGGTTTAGCCAAGGTGGTCAGTCCTGATGTAATGCTTCTAGTTCAATTGCAGTCATGCGACCACACATCTCTTAAGTTTGATCCCTGGTTCAGTGCCCTGCCCAACCATCCTATTTCACTGAATCAAGTCCGTGGCGTAGACTTTAGGTAAATTCAGGCAAAATTTTCCGTACTGTTGGAGAGGAGAGGTCATTTAAGTTTTTCATTTTTATCCATGAAATTTTGCACCAAAAAAAAAAAAATCCGTTTTCTATCATTATTTGCAATTGGCATCCTAAATCAGATCCGTTGTTCATCAAATTCAGTTTTCTTTCCTCAAAACTCTCTCTCTCTGAAAGAGATGTAAATAGATTTTTATGGGATGAAAAATAGAGACTTAGCCTTAATCCTTATCTCCAATAAAGACTATTTTGGACATTACACATTTGTTCCCATAATTGAACCCTTTTAAAATCTGTTTGTTTTCAGCCACTAACTGCTTTTGGGTGTAGAGTCCTTAAGAATTTGCTTCCTATTTGGTAAAATAGCCATTTTATTTGACTCAAATAAACCTCTTTCTAGCTCTAAATGGTACTTTCCCTTTCCATAATCAACATATATATGCCCTACATGAATCTTCAAAATTTAGTTATTTATTGAAATTTTATTATTAAAAGGAAAGTAATTATCCAAAATATGAGTGGACAGTTATTCTCTAAGTCTTTGGATATAGAGCCAGAGGAAGCAGGTTAATAACCACAATTCATTTTAAATGAATTTCATGATAATGATAGAAACTTTACAAGTTTTTTGATTTACCCAGGTAAAGCTGTGTACTCTTCCTTTCTTGAAATCTTTTCTGAATTGGTCTAAGTGTAATCATGTCTAACAGCAAAGCCAAAGGCTCTCATTTATTGCAGAGATAAATGTGTTATTTTAAAATCTTTTTAATTTTTTTAAATTCTAAGTTAATATTTTACATTTGTGTGTGTGTACATCGTATATGTATTTCAAAAAAGGGAAAACACTAGAAAATAAATCATAGAACCTACTGCTACAAAGTTCTGTGATTCATTGTCCACTGCTTTTTCTTTTTAGTAGCTCATACACAAATTTAAAATATTAACCCATTCATCTTTGCAATAGCTATGGTAAGTAATAGGGCAGTCATAAGGAAGGCTAGGTGAATTGTTACAGGTTAGACCCAAGTCTAGAATAGAATCATGTTTTTCCCATTTTCTACCCTTCTTTGTAGGGGTTAAAATAATAATGAATTAGCGTGCTAAGATGTATGTGAATCAATGAACACATAAAAATTTTTTTAATGGAAAATTTGTCAGATGTTTATGTTGAGCTCACAAATATGAACTGACTCTTTAAAAATATACTATAGTTCTATGTTAGCTTTCAGCTCTTTGGATTGACAAAATTTGTGCTAAATCAAGCGTAGAATTACTATCTGATCCAGCAGTTCTGGGTACATATCCAAAATAATTCAAAACTGGATCTTGGAAGAGATATTTGCACACCCATGTTCATTAACAGCATTATTCACAATAGCCAAGAGGTGGAAGCAATCCAAATGTCCATTGATTCTACAGATGAACAGATAAACAAAATGTGGTATAGGGCGCCTATAGTTCCACCTACTCAGGAAACTCTGGTAGGAGGGTCACTTGAACCCAGGAGATTCATTACACAGCAATGTGATTATATTTAGCACATCTGCTCTGCACACATAAAACTTGTTAAGTTGGTAAATTTTGTTAATTTTTTGCCACAATTAAATTTTTTGTAAAGTACATCTGACTGTCTTTTTATACCTTTCTCTCTCCAGCGCAGTGGACTTCACTGGAAGATGCTATTTCACCAAAATCTGCAAATGTAAACTGAAGGACATCGCATGTTTAAAATGGTAATTTGTGGCACTATTCTGGATAGCTCTGGGTTTGGAAGATGGATATTGACACCAAAGCATAGAGAAAGGTTCAGTGGGCTGCAACAAGGACTGGTATAAAGCATGCAATGAGCCATTGAAAAATTACTTATTACTTAGAGCTATTTTTTAAAAGGGTTTTCTGATGCTTCACATTAGTATATAATTTTACAGTTTTCAAAGTGTATTCACAGTATCCGCTTCAATTTTCAGAACAAGGCAATGTAGGTTAGGGGGGAGAAACACCTGGATTTACAATAATAAAAATCATGTTTGAGGTCTGACCCTACCCTTACTCTCTATGTGATCTTGAGTGAACTCCTTTAGCCTCTAAACTGCTGAACCTCTGTTTTCTTATTTAATTTCTAGGTTATTACTCCTTCTTTCTTTGTTTTTAGAGGGGTCTCATACTGTTGCTCAGGCTGGAGTGCAGTGGCATGATCATAGCTCACTGTAGCCTTGAACTCCTGGGCTCAAGTGATTCTCCTACCTCAGCCTCCTGAGTAGCTGGGACTACAGGCAGGCACCACCAGACCTGGCTAAGTTTTTTATTTTTGTAGCAATAGGGTCTTGCTATGTTGCCCAGGCTGATCTCAAACTCCTGGCCTCAAGTGATCCTCTCTCCTCAGCTTCCCAAAAGGCTGGGATTACAGGTATGAGCCACTGCATCCTACCTTAATTTCTTTCTTTCTTTCTTTTTTTGAGAAGGAGTTTTTGCTCTTGTTGCCAAGGCTGGAGTGCAATGGCGCGATCTAAGCTCACCACAACCTCCACCTCCCAGGTTCAAGTGATTCTCCTGCCTCAGCCTCCTGAGTGGCTGGGATTACATGCACGCACCACCATGCCCAGCTAATTTTTTTTTTTTTTTTTTTTTTTTTAGTAGAGACAGGATTTCTCCATGTTGGTCAGGCTGCTCTTGAACTCCCAACCTCAGGTGATCCGCCTGCCTCGGCCTGCCAAAGTGCTGGGATTACAGGCATGAGCCACCCCACCCAGCCATTCTGTCTTATTAAGATAGAAATTTAATAATCTTCTGTGTTTACCTTATCAAGTTATTATAAAGAGCAAATATGAATGTTAAAGTGCTCAATAAACTATAAATTACAACAGCTGAGAGCTATTACTATAATCTTTTGAGTAGACGTGTTATTATTTTCATTTTAGGAGGATAAAAGTTGAAATTTTCTCATTTAGATGGGGTTTGTATTTAGAAGGGGTTTGTATTATAAATGACAATCCTAATAATTTAAATTGGCAAGCTCTTCTTATGTGCTATTTGATTTCATTCCTTTATTTAAGCTATACTTGTATTGAGGAACTAGTATGTGGTAGTCATTGTTACAAGGGCTGGAAATACAACAAAAACTAGATGAAGTCACTGGCCTTTGGACATTATTTTCTTCTTTCTTTTTTTTTTTTTTTAAGACGGAGTTTTGCTCTGTCACCCAGGCTAGAGTGCAGTGGCACGATCTCAGCTTACTGCAACCTCCGCCTCCCAGGTTCAAGCGAATCTCCTGCCTCAGCCTCCTGAGTAGCTGAGACTACAGGCACGCACCACCATGCCCAGCTAATTTTTCATATTTTAGTAGAGACAGGGTTTCACCGTGTTGCCCAGGCTGCTCTCAAACTCCTGAGCTCAGGCAGTCCGCCTGCCTTGGCCTCCCTAAGTGCTAGGATTACAGGCGTGAGCCACCGCACCCAGCCCACCCAGCTAATTTTTGTATTTTTAGTAGAGACGGGATTTCGCCATGTTAGCCAGGCTGGTCTCAAACTCCTGACCTCAAGTGATCCACCTGCCTCGGCCTCCCAAAGTGTGAGATTACAGGTGTGAGCCACCGCACCTGGGCAACGACATTTTTTTTGTTTTGTTTTGAGACGGAGTCTTGCTCTGTTGCCCAGGCTGGAGTGCAATGGCATGATCTCGGCTCACTGCAACCTCCGTCTTCTGGGTTCAAGTGATTCTCTCACCTCTGCCTCCCGAGTAGCTGGGACTACAGGCACGTGCCACCATGCCCAGTTAATTTTCGTATTTTTAGTAGAGGTGGGGTTTCGCCATGTTGGCCAGGCTGGTCTCGAACTCCTGACCTCAAGTGATCCACCCGCCTCAGCCTCCCAAAGTGCTGGGATTACAGGCATGAGCCACCGCACCCGAAGAACAACATTTTCAAAAGAAAACCAAAACAGGAAAGTTAATTTTAATCATATATTTTGTCTAACCCAATGTATCCAAAATATTATTTCAACATGTAACCAACATAAACTACTAATGTAATATTTTATATTCCATTTTTTGGTCTTACTCTTTGAAATCTGGTGTACATTTTACACTTAACAGCACATCTCAATTCAGGCCAGCCCCACTGCAAGTGTACAACAGCCACATGTGGCTAGTGGCTATTATTCTTGACAGCATAGATCTGGACCTTGGTATGGAAAGGTTTTTATTTTCATTTTTGGCTATTGAAGAGGTTTTAACCAGGGAGCAGAATGATCTGATGTAGCCTCGCTAGACTGTTAGCTCCGTGAGAACAAGGGCTTTGTTTTGTTTACCAGTGTATTCCTAGCACCTAGAGCAGTGCCTGAAAGATAGTAGATACTCAATAAATGTTAGTTTAAGTGATGAATCAATGGATGAATGAATGAATATAGGCGGTAATTAAAGTCATGGAATTTACTTTTGCAATATAGTCTTACAAATAACTGGCACTCCTAGTCCAAACACAACTTTTGTTTTCATTTGTTTGCCTTTCAAGCAAGTTATAATTAGAAGACATATTTTAGGTGGAATGGTACCTTTTATAGTAATCTTTATTGGGTCTCATAAAAATGACTGACTCACAAATCTCACAGAGTAAGACTAAGCTTGAATAAGAATTTTTACAACTCAAGGTATAAACAGTTCATGTTGCTATTTTTTTTAAAGTACTAGCTAAAACATTCCCTGTAGGTTCACTCTATTTAATATGTGACTAGCTAGTTAAAAAAAAAAAAAAAATTGTGAAAGACTGAGGTACTTATAATCAGCTGGATAATTCTGAAAACTGTAAAAACTTTTGCAACTTTCTCTGGAGGCTGTAGATTGCTTTATTTCTGAGTTCCTTCAAAAACACTGAGACTAAAATTAGAGCAGCCAGATTGTATTTGGTTTACAGGGACTCATGCTGTCTTCCTACCTCTCCATCTGTTGAAACAGTTTTTAGGTGCTGGCATGAAACTAGAACATGTAAGAACCCAACTTGCCACAGTCCTGGGATAGCAAAAACCTTTACCCACAGAACTGAGTTAATTTAATTTATTTTGTCTGTACAGCACATCAATTTGGGTGGTTTATAAAACAAATCACAACATTATGGCATCTAGAAGCTAACTTCTGAAGGGAGAATGCATAAAATAATACTAGCAGGACAAGCATGGTGGCTCATGCCTGTAATCCCAGCACTTTGGGAGGCCAAGGCAGGTGGATCACCTGAGGTCAGGAGTTCGAGACCAGCCTGGCCAACATGGTAAAACCCCATCTCTACTAATAACACAAAAGTTAGCTGGGCATGGTGGCACACGCCTGTAATCCCAGCTATTCTGGAGGCTGAGGCAGGAGAATCACTTGAACCTGGGAGGCGGAGGTTGCAGGCACTCCAGCCTGGGTGACAAGAGCAAAACTCGGTCTCAATAATAATAATAATAATAATAATAATAGCAAAGAAATGTGAGAATATTTTACTATTATTCACTTAAAGACTGCTTTCCCACTTGATGGTAGAACTGCACCCCCATCCCATCCCAAAGATCTCAGCAATGAAAGTTGTTAGGAAATGAGATCTAAATTATATGGTCTATTTATATAAGCAATATGAAAAGACTTATCTGGCTAGTTATTACATGGTATCTAGTAACATTTACTTTCTTTTCTAGTGGGAACATTGTAGGTTATCATGTGATTGTTCCATGTAGTTCCTGTCTTCTTTCCTGCAACAACGGACACTTCTGGATGTTTCACAGCCAGGCAGTTTATGATATTAACAGACTAGACTCCACAGGTAAGAAACAATTGACTTGGACATTCCTGTAACATTTCTCTATCAATACCTGAGTAAAATTCCCAATAGATCATTTCAGGATTCCTTTTAGATCTTCTTAGCTGGATTAGCTAGAGTGAAACTTCAATTCTTTTTTCCCAGACATTCACTTATGAAAACTATTAGGCAAAATTCATTGTCATTTCTATGTTCATCCTTGTACTTAAGGCCTCAAACTTGGCTGAATTTCTTGGTCTTTTAAAATGAATATTATAATTGCTCTTAACTGCTGCCTTGATACATATTCTGACTCCAGAGAATTTTTGAAGATTTTAGATTTGATAGTCTAATGCATGTGTGTGTCTGTGTGTGTGTGTAAGAAAGGGAGAGGCCAGGCCTAGGGCAATGGGAGTTGAGAGGAGGAGGACTAAGTAACCTCTGTATTTGGTGATGCTTCAGAATAAAAACAGACATTTCGACATCTATGTTAATACGTTATGACAGAATTTTAGTCAAGGGAAATATTTGACACCAAAGTATAAAGTATGTTGTACAGGCACAAGTGGAGATATTGTAGGTTCAATTCCAGACCACCATAATAAAGCAAGCAAATATCACAATTAAAGCAAGTCACACAATTTTTTGGTTTCCCAGTGTGTATAAAAGTTATGTTTACAATATATTGTAGTCTATTAAGTGTGCAATAGCAGGACATTTAAAAAACAATGTGCATACCTTAATCAAAAAATACTTATTCGGCCGAGAGCAGTGGCTCATGCCTGTAATCCCAGCACTTTGGTAGTCCAAGGCGGGAGGATCACTTGAGCCCAGGAGTTTGAGACCAGCCTGGGCAGCATGCTGAGACCTCATCTCTACAAAAAAAATACAAAAATTATCCAGGCATCGTGGGGCATACTATCGTCCCAGCTACCCAGGAGGCTGAGGTGGGAGGATCACTTGAATTTGGGAGGTAGAGGCTGCAGTGAGCTGTGATCATGCCAGTGCATTTCAGCCTGGGCAACAATATGAGACCCTGTCTCAAAAAAGAAAAAAAAATGCTTTATTGCTAAAAACTGCTAATGATCATCTGAACCTTCAGCAAGTCATAATCTTTTTGCTGGTGGAGGGTCTTGCCTTGATGTTGATGACTGCAAACTGATCAGGGTGGTGGTTGCTGGAGGTTAGGATGGCTGTGGCAGTTTCTTAAAATAAGACAACAATGAGGTTTGCCGCATGGATTGACTCTTCCTTTCACAAAAGATTTCTCTGTAGCATGTGATGCTATTTGATAGAATTTTACACATAGTAGAACCTCTTTCAAAATTGGAGTCAATCCTCTCAAATTCTGCTACTACTTTACCAACTATGTTTATGTAATATTCTAAATCCTTTGTTTTCATTTCAACAATATTTACAGCATCTTCATCAAGAGTAGATTTCACCTCAAGAAACCGTTTTCTTTGCTCATCCATAAAAAGCAACTCTTCATCCATTAAAGTTTCATCATGAGATTGCAGCAATGCAGTCACGTCTTCAGGCTCCATTTCTAAGTGTAGTTTTCTTGCTATTTCTACCACATCTGCAGTTACTTCCTCCACTGAGGTCTAAAACCTCTCAAAGTTACCCATGAGGGTTGGAATCAACTTCTTTCAAACTCCTGTTAAGACTGATATTTTGACCTCCTCCCATGAATCAGGAATGTGCTTTTCCAGGTTTTCAATGTACTTTGCCCAGATCCATCAGAAGAATTACTATCTATGGCAGCTATAGCCTTATGAAATCTATCTCTTAAATAATAAGACTTGAAAGATTAAATTACTTCTTGATCCATGGGCTGCCAAATAGATGTTATGTTAAGGCATTAAAGCAATATTTATCTCCTTGTACAATGCCATCAGAGCTCTTGAGTGACTAGGTGCATTGTCAATGAACAGTAATATTTTCAAAGGGATTTTTCTGAGCAGTAGGTCTTAACAATGGGCTTAAAATAGTTAGTAAAACATGCTGTAAACAGATTTGCTGTCGTCCAGGCTTTGTTGTTTCATTGACAGCGCACAGGCAAAGTATATTTGGCATAATTCCTAAGAACCCTAGAAATTTCGGAACGGTAAATGAGCATTGGATTCAACTTAAAGTCACCAGCTGCATTATCCTCTAACAAGAGATTCAGCCTATCCTTTGAAGCTTTGAAGCCAAGTATTACTTCTCCTCTCTAGCTATGAAAGTCCTAGATGGCATCTCCTTCCAATAGAAGGCTGTTTTGTGTATATTAAAAATCTCTGCCGGACGCAGTGGTTCACGCCTATAATCCCAGGACTTTGGGAGGCCGAGGTGGATGGATCACCTGAGGTCAGGAGTTTAAGACCAGCCTGACCAATATAGTAGAACTCTGCCTCTACTAAAAATAAAAAATTAGCTGGGCGTGGTGGTACATGCCCAGCTACTTGGGGGACTGAGGCAGAAGAATCACTTGAACCCAGGAGGTGGAGTTTGAAGTGAGCCGAGATCGCACCATTGCACCAAGAGTGAAACTCCATCTGAAAAAAAAAAAGGAATAAGAGGCCGGGCGCGGTGGCTCACGCCTGTAATCCCAGCAGTTTGGGAGGCCGAGGCGGGCAGATCACCTGAGGTTGGGAGTTCGAGACCAGCCTGACCAACATGGAGAAACCCCGTCTCTACTAAAAATACAAAATTAGCTGGGCATGGTGGCGCATGCCTATAATCCCAGCTACTTGGGAGGCTAAGGCAGGAGAATGGCTTGAACCCGGGAGGCGGAGGTTGCGGTGAGCCAAGATCATGCCATTGCACTCCAGCCTGGGCAACAAAAGTGAAACTCCATCTCAAAAAAAAAAAAAGAAAAGAAAAGAAAAGAAAAATCTGTTGTTTAGTGTAGCCACCTTCATCCATAATCTTAGCTAGATCTTCTGGATAACTTGCTGCAGCTTCTACATCTGCACTTTTTGCTTCACCTGAACTTGTATGTTATAGAAATGGCTTCTTTCCTTAAACTTTATAAACCAACCTCTGCTAGCTTCAAACTTTCTTCTACAGTTTCCTCAACTTTCTTGCCCTTCATAGAATTGCAGAGAGTTAAGACCTAGCTCTGGATTAGGTTTTCGCTTAAGAGAATATCATGGCTGGTTTAATCCTCTATCTAGGTCACTAAAACTTTCTCCATATCAGCAATAAGGCTATTTCACTTTTTTATTCTTGTTTTCACTGGAGTAGCACTTCTTATGTCCTTTAAGAACTTTTCTTTGCAGTCACAAGTTGGCTAACAATTGGGCATAAAAGGCCCAACTTTCAGCCTGTCTCAGCTTTCAATATGTCTTCCTCACTATGCTTAATCATTTCTAGCTTTTGATTTACAGTGAGAGACATGCCACTCTCTTTCACTTGAACACTTAGAGGTCATTGTAGGGATATTAACTGGCCCAATTTCAATATTGTTGTATCTTAGGAAATAGGGAGGCCCCAGGAAAGAGAGAGAGAACAGCTGGTCAGTGGAGCAGTCAGAACACACAAAATATTTATCGATTAAGTTTGCAGTCTTAAGTGGGTGTGGTCTTAAGTGGGTGTGGTTCATAGCACCCTGAAACAATTATAACAGTAACATCAAAGATCACAGATCACCATAATATATATAATAATAATGAAAAAGGTTGAAATATTGAGAGAATTATCAAAATGTAACAGACACAAGGTAAGCATATGCTGTTAGACTTACTCAATGCAGGATTGCCAAAACCTTCCATTTATATAAAGCCCAGTATCTATGGTGTACAATAAACTAAAGCACAATTGAGGTATGCCTATACTAATTATTTTAGCAAGGCCAGGCATGGTGGCTCACACCTGTAATCCCACACTTTGGGAGGCCAAGACCAATGATCACTTGAGGTCAGGGGTTCGAGACCAGCCTGGCCAATATGATGAAACCCCCCTTGAACCTGGGAGGTGGAGGTTGCAGTAAGCCGAGGTGGCACCGCTGCACTCCAGCCTGGGCAACAGAGTGAGACCCTGTCTCAAAAAAAAAAAAAAAAAAAAATAATATTTTAGTAAGAAAGTACACTACCAATTCTTTTAAAAAAAAAAAAATTTCTTTTTCCTTGTGTTAAGGTGCTGAGGCACTGAAATACTAATTCTTTTTTTTTTTTTTTGAGACAGAGTTTCACTCTTGTTTCCCAGGCTGATGTGCAATGGTGTCATCTTGGCTCATGGCAGCCTCTGCCTCCCAGGTTCAAGCGATTCTCATGCCTCAGCCTCCCGAGTAGCGAGATTACAGGCATACGCCCAGCTAATTTTTTTGTATTTTTAGTAGAGACAGGGTTTCACCATGTTGGTCAGGCTGGTCTTGAACACCTGACCTCAGGGGATCCGCCTGCCTCAGCCTCCCAAAGTGCTGGGATTACATGGGATTACAGACGTGAGTCACCATGCCTGGCCTGAAGTACCTTTTTTTTTTTTTTTTTTTGAGATGGAGTCATTCTGTCACCCAGGCTGGAGAGCAGTGGCGTGATCTCGGCTCACCGCAACCTCCACCTCCCGGGTTCAAGTGATTCTCCTGCCTCAGCCTTCTGAGTGGCTGGGATTATAGGTGCGCACCACTACACCTGGCTAATTTTTGTATTTTTAGTAGGGACGGGGTTTTGCCATGTTGCCCAGGCTGGTCTCGACCTCCTGACCTCAGGTGATCCGCCCACCTCAGCCTCCCAAAGTGCTGGGATTACAGGTGTGAGCCACTGCACCGGCCAAAGTACCAATTTTTAAAGGGGATTTATATAATACTTTTTATATTGCCTGGAGCCATTGAGTTTTGTTATAAGACACATGTTCTCCGTGTCTAACATCTATTTACACAACAGACCAAGTTGATTTTAAGGAACTTTTTTTTTTTTTTTGGAGACAGGGTCTTGCTCTGTCACCCAGGCTGGAGTGTGGTGGCACAATCTTGGCTCACTGCAGCCTCGACCTCCCAGGCTCAAGCCATTCTTCCACCTCAGCCTTCTCAATAGGTGGGACCACAGGTGTGTGCCACCATCCCTGTCTAATTTTTTGTATTTTTCGTAGAGACCAGTTTTTGCCATTTTGCCCAGGCTGGTCTCGAACTCCTGTCCTCAAGTGATCTGCCCACCTTGGCCTCCAAAGGGCTGGGATTACAGGCCTGAGACACCTCGCCAGCTGACTTTAAGTAACTTGACAATCTAAGTTGACACTAGCATTCTTAGGTTCCTAAATGCAAGTTTTAGTCTCCTTTAGAACTTAAATGTATTTTTTAAATATATGATTTGCCTTCACAGACCAAAAGATCACGAATTGCAAGCTAGGTTGTCAAGGGTCTTTAAATCCTCCAATTATGCTTAGATTTTTGTAGATTTGATTTTTTTATCTGGGACTCAACTGTGGCTCTCAATCTATCATTTATGGGGTCTTAATTTAAAACTTTGGTATGTTAAGAAGGCCATTTTCATGTAAGGACTTATCTGAACTCCCATAAGTGGGATACAGTCTCCTAATTTAAGCCTCCAGTTTTATATTTGTGTTGCCCATGGGACACATTAAAGGAAGTTTCTGCTTTGATAGTATTTTTCCTGCTTTACAGAATTCAAAACACAGGGTGGAGATTTTTCAAGTTTGATTTACTTTTTAATATTGGTCAATTTTTCAAAGATAAAAGCCCCGCATTCTTCCATTTGCACTGAATCTAATCCATAAGAAACAGATGTATCACAGGATTTCCTTCCTCCCTTCTTAACAGAGAAAGGAAGGTGCTGCTTCTGTCAGATCCAATCTCTTAGTTTATTTTTCCTCCTTTGAACCAATTGTGCTGAGCTGCTTCATGTCTCTGAGTACTGACTCCAAGAATATCAAGCTTCTGCTTTGTAACCCTAATATTGTGATTTCAAGCAAGATTTTCTAGATGCTTGGTATCAAAGCAAGTTTCTAATGGCGCCACAACTGTCCTTGAATCACCTGAACCAGCAGTGTCAAAGGAATGCATAGACAAGCTTTATAAATTCTATAATGTTTAAACTGAAAAGGACTCCTGGAGGTCTGTTTTCTAGGCTAGTCTTCATTTAGAGACCTGATTTCCCAGAACTTTCTGGAGGAGCCTTGGGAAACCTCAGCTCAAATTTCCTGAAATTGGCAAATGCCCTCAGAGTCAAAATGGCTTCAGCCCTCCATTTACATTTATGGGTTCTAATTTTCACTTTGATTTTTGCCTCGCAATTCCTTACAGTTCTTCCTGTCAGCTCTTCCATGACATTTACCTGGAGCAGAACACCATTCATTCTTAGGGTGGGGGTGGGGGTGGGGTAGCGTTTTCTATTATAAACAATTCAAACACAAAAAGATTATAGAAAATAATAAGATACACATCTGTATCCCTACCAGCATCAGATACATGCTAAATTCTTGCCAGATTAGATTCCAGTATCTCCCTCAGTCAAGGTAAACAGTTAATTATTTCTACTGTTTCAACAATGTCACACTACACATCCCTGTGCATGTCGCCTTGAACCACCTATGCAAGATGGGCAGCTGAGGAAGGGATGAGCAATGGGCTGTATTTGCAACATTTTTAAAAATTCACAAAATGGAATACTGTCCAGAAGTAAAAATAAATGAGCGAAATCTACACAAGTTAACATGGATTAACCTCAAAAACATGACGAGTGAAAAAGCAAATTAGAAAACAATATGTAGTGTAATAACATTCTATACAAAATTTAAATCCACTAAACAGTAATATATATTGTCTATGTTGCATGCATTTGTAGTAAAACCATGCATGGTGTACTAGCAGTGGTAAACACTGGATTCAAACCAAATCTCCAAATCCTGGCTCATTCCATTCCGCCATGTGGCTGCTATCTCAGTGTATATGGGGTGGGTATCCTGAATTGCTGGATCCTCTTTGTGTCCACACTGATAACTGGACAGCTTAAGATTTGTTTTTCTGGCCAAGTGTGGTGGCTCACATCTGTAATCCCAGCACTTTGGGAGGCCGAGGCGAGGGGGATCACCTGAGGTCAGGAGTTCAAGACCACCCTGACCAACGTGGTGAAACCCCATCTCTACTAAAAATACAAAAATTACCCAGGCATGGTGGCATTCGCCTGTAGTCCCAGCTACTCGGGAGGCTGAGGCACGAGAATCACTTGAACCTGGGAGGCAGAGGTTGCAGTGAGCCAAGATTACACCACTCGACTCCAGCCTGGGCAATAGAGCGAGACTCCGACTCAAAAAGAAAAAAAAAAAGATTTGCTTTTCTTGTGAAGTTAATTGGCTATCCTAGAGGTCAGTTATTTTCCATTTAGTGCTTTTAACTAATAATGTAATATATACCCAGAGTAATAAACTTGTCATTATCCTCTACTGTATGTTTAGTCATTTACTGTATACCTGTGCTTCATTCTTCAATATGAAATCTGACTATTCTTTCTCAGTGAAGTTTTTGATTATTCTTTTGTTTATTATAGTGACTGCTGCAACCTGGCCCTAAAGTTCAGTTTAAAGCTCTGCCTGTGGACTGAAACCCACTGGTACCAAGGATTGCAGTTCATATTATAACTGGCTCCGAACCCTTGCTTTTTTTCTGAATCAGAAAAATGGCACCAGCTACTTCTCTGCTTATTGAAGGGATGAGGAGACTTATTCAGGACTTCTCCCTGAACCCTCCAAAGAGGCATTTAATCTAAAAGGATCTTGTGAGATCTCCATTCTTAAACATCATTAAAATAGATCAGAAAATTATCAGTGTATAGTGATTATGTTATAATGCAGCTGGAGGCAGAGTTTGAGTAAATGGACTCCTGAGAGCCTTTTGAGCTGTAAAATTCTAGAATTCAAGCCCTTGCTTAAAAGGATTTAAAGAATGTTTATGTCCTAGCCCTTTAAAAAAAAGTGTTTGCCAGGCATGGTGGCTCATGCCTGTAATCCCAACAGTTTGGGAGGTCAAGGAGAGAGGATTGCTTGAGCCCAGGAGTTTGAGACTAGCCTGGGCAACATAGTGGGAACCTGTATCTACAAAATAAAATTAGCCATGTGTGGTAGTACACGCCTGTAGTCCCAGTGACTTGGGAGGCTGAGGTAGGAGGATCACTTGAGCCCTGGAGGTTCAGGCTGCAGTGATCTGTGATTGTGAACCGTGATCCTACCAGGCACTCCAGCCTGGGCAACACAGAGAGAATTTCTCTCAAAATAAATAAATAAAGTTTATGTCCTAGATGGATAATATTAGGTAATTTTATTTGCAGTACATTCTTCAATAGCTACTCTTTTTACTGCTAACACTATGGTTTACATAAGAATATTAACATATAAAGTTTCGTAATTCGTGTTCTGAGTTATAACAGTAGTAAGCATTAAAGAATTTTATGACTTTTTATTTTCAGGTGTAAACGTCCTACTTTGGGGCAACTTGCCAGAGATAGAAGAGAGTACAGATGAAGATGTGTTAAATATCTCAGCAGAGGAGTGTATTAGATAAATGGAATTATGATATATATGATATACAAACTTTTTTCTATTTAAAAATATATTAATGGATCAACTTTAAAATTGTTAGTTGCCAGTGATCTTTTTTGGAAAACAAAAATGGGGCATTTGTTGATTTATTTATTTTCCGTCTCTAATTAGTTACCTCAGTTTGATTGAAGCCAGTGAAGTTGTGCTTTTCCTCTACTTCTACTTCCTCTCCCCGACCTTTTTCTGCCCAGTGTAGGTGTATTCTTAAATTCAGACAGGGGAAGATTCTTTCACATATCACTCAGTTACCTCCCAATCTGGGGGAGTTTTTCTTACAACTTGATACCAGATACCATTAATTTTACATTCCTGAATAAAGGCCTAGTACCCACGCATATTTCAACCATGCATATATCAAGTTCAACCGAGTTTTAATAGGGGATTAAAAAAACAAGCTGTTAGGTTTCCATGGGCACTGGTTCTCATAGGTTCTATTGGTGATAACTGCTTTAACATGGAGCAAGAGTTTGTGAATCAGGAAATAGAATAAATTAAAATTTAAAATATATAGAGGAATCCTCTTGATTGCTCAGCATGATGTTAGATAAATGAGTTTGTCAGAAAATATCAGTATACGCTGTTTACCAATGTTATTTATTTACATTCTTCTAAAGCCATTATGGATATTGTATTATGAGAGCTAAACCTAAATAAGTTATCCTGTTCCCTAGGACCTTCTCTGTAAATAGTGAATTTTAGACGAGTAGTCTGTCCTAAATCTTAAATAGAAAAAAAACTAAAGCGATTTGCTTAAGCCATTGTACATTATAAAGAGCTGTTTTGTTTTGCTTTGCTTTGCTTTGTTTTGTTTTTTTAAAGCTGCATTCAGAGCCACAAAGGAATAGGAAAGTAGGGTAGTGTTGGATTCTGGTTTTATGTAACTCTAAAATAAATGTATCTCTTTAATATCTCAGTTGTAGGGATTTTGTCAATACCAAAGCAGACTGAGTTGTGGTTTTGTAAATAAAGTTTTTTCTAAAAATGACCATTCTTCCTTTAATTTTTTGTTATGCCCACATATTGTATGTAAAAATATAAATAAATAGTACTTAAAGTATAGAATATAAGGCTAATGTTTATTGAATACTTACCATATGCCAGACACTGTTCTAAGTGCTTTAGACGTTTAACTCCTCACAACAAACCTATGAGGTAGGTACCATTATTATTCCTTTTTTTTTAAACTGGTAAATCAGGTGAGACAGAGAGAAGTTAAGTAATTTGTTTAAGGTAGCATAACCGGTTAGAGGTGCTCAGACAGAAGACTGACTCCAAAAGCTCCTGCTCATATGATTTATTTATGGTCTTACTTAGCCGGGATACCTGCTGGGTAACTAACTACATTGTTATGTGCCCTAGATGAGGGCAGAAGTGACTGATTTGAAGGTTGAATAAACTCATGCAGGGTCTTAGGGTATAAGTGACCTGAGGGCATTGAAAGAATCATTTGCCACAAACCAAGATAAAAGGTGCTTCAGGAAATGCTATTACTCCCTCCTGGAAAACGTTTCCAAAAATCTTTCACACCAACCATTAACACTGACAGAAGGCCATCAAAAGAACCAATGGAATGAGTATGGAATAATTTGTTTTGCGATTTGGTTTTTTGGGTGTGTGTGTGTGTGTGTGTGTGTGTGTTGTAACCTCAAGTTCTTAGGTGAGCATAATCTATAAGAGAAAAAATATATATATACTTCTTTGGTTAACTTGCTCAACTAGAGAAGAAAAGTTTAATACTAGACTAGGAAATGTGGCAAATTTAAAATTCAATAGAGTTCATCTGGTTTCCGTTCAGCTCATGCCTTCAAAGGCTATGGTTGACCTAGGGTCTCTCTGAAAAGCAAAAGCAAGACAGAGGTGCACTGATTGAAGCAAGCCCCAAATGTGATTCTACTCCAGCTGGGGAATATTTCAAATTACTCAACTACCTTTGGTTAACTGGATTATGGGAAAGCCAATTCTAAACAGAAAGCTGATTAATAAAGTTTTATCTAAAGAAATATATTCATGACACTAGTGTGGTTTGAGGGTTTTTTGTTGTTGTTGTTGTTTTCTTTAGAGACAGGGTCTCGCTTTGTTGCCCAGGCTGGAGTGCAGTGGTGTGATCATAGCTCACTACAGCCTTGAAGTCCTGGACTCAAGCAATCCTCCTGCCTCAGCCTCCCCTGTAGCTAGGACCACAGGCATGCACCACACCTGGCTAAATGACACTGGTTTGTGGGGCTTTTTTTGTTTGTTTGTTTGTTTGTTTGTTTGTTTGTTTTTGAGAGAGGGTCTCGCTCTGTTACCCAGGCTGGAGTGCAGTGACATGATCTCAGCTCACTGCAACTTCCACCTCCAGGGTTCAAGCGATTCTCATGCCTCAGCACCCCCGAGTAGCTGGGACTACAGGCATGCACCACCATGCCTGGCTAATTTTTGTAGTTTTAGTAGAAGGAGTTTTGCCATGTTGGCCAGCCTGGTCTTGAACTCTTGGCCTCAAGTGATCCACCAGCTTCGGTCTCCCAAAGTATTCGGATTACACGCATGAGTGTGAATCCAACACTGTTTTTGGGATTTTTTTTTTTTAGATGCAGTTTCACTCTTGTTGCCCAGGCTGGACTGCAATGGTGTGATCTTGGCTCACCACAACCTCTGCCTCCCAGGTTCAAGCAATTCTCCAGCCTCAGCCTCCCAAGTAGCTGGGATTACAGGCACGTACCACCACACCCAGCTCATTTTGTATTTTTAGTAGAGATGGAGTTTCTCCATGTTGGTTAGGCTGGTCTCGAACTCCTAACCTCAGGTGGTCTCCCGCGTTGGCCTCCCAAAGTGCTGGGATTACAGGCATGAGCCACTGTGCATGGCCTGTCAACACTGTTTTTAAATAAAAGCAAATTACATTCACTCTGGTAAGACCAAAGCAGAATCACATACATGGATTTAGGATACACCTTCTACTCCTAGTATAATTCCTAGGCCTAGAAGATCCATCTATTCTTTGGTCCTCTTTTAATATTTCATTCAATTCAACACACCTGTATTATTCTCCAATAGTGTGGCAAGAATTGTACAATGACATGCTCACACTTGCCTTCAGGGAGTACACAGTAAGTTGAGGAAAGGATAGAACTCTGTGAGTCCATTTATTTCATTGGGTTAAGTGATTTAACAAAGGCATGCTTAAAGTGCTATGACTCCAGAGATGAAAGAGCAATCATTCTGAGTAGCAGGAGAAAGTGGGAGTTGAGCAAGAGAGCATAGGAATTGAGAAAGCTACTGAGAAGAAATGATACTTGAGGCAGGCTTTGAAGCAGTTAGGAGTTGCCAGCTGGGATGAGAGTTTTAAGCAGAGGGAATAGTGTAAACAAATTGACGGGAATTTAAAAGTATCTTGCTTATTTGGGAAGTTCTAAGTTGTCCCCCATACCTTCCAAGACATGTAATAAAAATTAATTCGGCCAGGCATGGTGACCCACACCTATAATACCAGCACTTTGGGAGGCTGAGGAGGAAGGATTGCTTGAGGCCAGGAGTTTGAGACCAGCCTGGGCAAGATAGTGGGAACCCATCTCTACCAAAAAATACAAAAATAAGCCCAGGGTGATGGCACAGGCTTGTAGTCCCAGGTACTTGGGAGGCTGGGGCGGGAGGATCACTTGAGCCTAGGAGGCTGAGGCTGCAGTGAGCCATGATTGGACCACTCCGCTCCAGCCTGCGTGACAGAGTGAGACCCTGTCTCAAAAGTTAAAAAATAAATAAATTTTTTTTAAAAAAAGAATTAATTACAAGGTGAAGTTAACAAGGAAGGTTATATGTTATGAAGAATATTCTACTATACGATTGTAAGTTTAGACTTGGTCCAGTAGCAATGTGGAGTTATTGAAGTTTTTAAGCAGGAGAATAAAATGATCAGATTGAGGATGATGGCTCTGATGGTAAAGTATAATCAAGTTTAGCTTTCCTAATGTCCTTTCTTTGATGCACTTAACAATTTGACCACGGAAATTAAACTTACTGCCTTTACCCTAAGAACCCATGTAGTTCTTCAAGTTCTCGGAATTTCTTGGGTTTCATGGAGCCTCTAGTCTGCAGTAGGGCATTGCCTTTTTTTTTTCCCCTTTTCCATTTTGTCATTCTTGCAGTTCAAGGAAGGGGCAGTGAGTCATCAGCTCACCCGCCATGACATTTCTGCTACTTTATCTTTCTCCTTAAGCTAGTTTCTCAACCTCAAACTTAGCCTCTGAGGAGGCATCTTGGGTGGAGCCTAATCTTAAAGACATACATTTTAAATAATCAATGGTTCTGAAAACCAGGTCCTTAAATATTAGCAATTGAGAGAGATTACCCAAAAAGAACACTCTTTTGACCTCTGAGTCACATGTGGCTGGTTAAGAATAATCTATATTGTTTAACTTTAGTGAGGAAGTGACCATGATATATAAACCATGATCTAGAAGACAACTAACCACAACACAAATACGGAGTGAGGGGAGGTAGGTGAGAATATGGATCAAATAGTCTTGATTCAGTAGTGAATTGCTCAATGAAAGCTTTCCCTATTTTAACATTCCTGCTTATAAAAGGAAATAGTTTCCTTTCCTGCCTTTTTTTTTTTTTAACTTTAAAAGCAGCCTAAACCATAGTTTCTTTCTTGCCTGGTATTGAGCGTATGCCAAATCTACCCTAAACTGCACAGATGGAAAAAATTAGTCTATGTCTGTGGTACCTCTGGGGTTGAATATTTTTAGTACCGAAATCTTTAGCTAAAGATTCCTTTTTCCAACACTCTCAAAGAATCCCTTTATTGTCATCCAATGGAAAAACTTACTGAGATAGAAATTAACTATATCATGCTTTTGTATATTCCTTTACAGTTTATTAAGAGCTTTCACATGCAGTGTCATTTACTCCTCAGAATAACCTTGGGAGCTATCATTCCCATTTTACAAATTAAGAAAGAGTCCAGGCATGGTGGCTCACGTCCGTAATCCCAACACTTTGAGAGGCTGAGGCCAGAGGATCACCCGAGGCCAGGAGTTTGAGACCAGCCTGGGCAACAAAGTGAGGCCTAGTGTCTACAAAAATTTTAAAAATTAGCCAGGTGTGGTGGCGCGTGCCTGTAGTCCAGCTACTCAGGAGGCGGAGGTGGAAGGATCACTTGAGCTGGGACATCAAGGCTGCAGTGAGCTGTGATTGTGCCACTGCATTCCAGCCTGGGTAACTAAATGAGACCCTGTCTCAAAAAATAATAATAATAAGTAAATAAATAAATGAGCAAATTAAGAAATAAAATCCTGATTGCAATACCCAGAGAGTTGGAAGAATCTGAACTTCAATCAGGCTTCTCATCTTAGTTTAGGGTTTTCTTCTACCTCCCTGACTCTAAACTGCTGTCCATTTTTCCCTCACTAGCTGTAAAACTTAGGAGAAATTTCCTTTGACTTTCAACCTCAAAGCCCAGTTATTTTTCATTAATCAGTTAGTTCAACGAATATTTATTCAGTGCCTACTATGGGCAAAATAGATGCTGGGGCTACAGAACTAAGCAAGACAGAATTGCTGCTGTCATGTGGAGCTGACTTTCTAGTTGAGGGTAAAGAAGAAAATGAGTTACCATTGATAGAGGGCTTACTGTGTGCCAGGCATTGTTCCAAGTGCTTCACATGTAACCCCTAACTGATGGATCCTATCCTCCCCATAGAGATCAGGAAACTGAGGCACAGAGAGGTTAAAGAACTTGTTCGTGGTCACCCAGCTAGCAAATGACACCACTCTAAGATTTGGAAAGCCCAGAATTAAGTAGCTTAATAACTGTGCTTTCTTTTTCTTTTTTTCCTTTCCTTTTTTTTTTTTTTTTTTTTTTTGAGATGGAGTCTTGCTCTGTTGCTCAGGCTGGAGTGCAGTGGCGTGATCTGAGCTCACTGCAACCTCCACCTCCTGAGTTCAAGCAATTCTCCTGCCTCAGCCTCCTGAGTAGCTGGGATTACAGGCACATGCCACAATGCCCGGCTAATTTTTTTGTATTTTTACTAGAGACGGGGTTTCACCATGTTGGCCCAGCTGGTCTTGAACTCCTGACCTCAAGTGATCCACCCACCTCGGCCTCCCAAAGTGCTGGGATTACAGGCATGAGCCACCGTACCCGGTTCTTTTTATTTTTCAATGCAGTTGTCTTCCATTCAAATAAATAAAACAAATAAAAATTTAAAAATTAAATACAAATAAAATGTAAAAATAAAAGTTTTCCATTAGCAATCTTCCTGTACACATCTTTTCCTATTAGAGCTTAGTTGATTTTTGTTTTAAATTGAGATGGGGACAACAACATCTCCCTTTTCAGTAAGGGAGATTTGGTTTATCTGTAAACAATAAAAATGCTAGTCTTATACACTATAGAGAAAGAAAAAAATTAGGCAAAACTCTTACTTTGCAACTTTGCTGTTCTATCTAGAAACAAAGTCTTTTTTACAAGTCCAGATTTTTATCTTACAAGCAACAAAAGTTTACAGCAGAGTAAATAAGCTCTTTAAGCTATTTGTATGTCTCAAATATTTCATAATAAAAAGTGAATTAAATGACTGCCTTTTGCAAATTGCTCTAATCTCAGCCTTCTTTATAAGCTTGTATTTAAAAATCTATTCATATGGAATTTCAGAAGCAGCCTTGCCTTAAATGAGCACTACTGAATCTTCATAACAAGATTATGTATTTGTTATGTGGAAAGCAAAAATAGGTATCAAATTCATATTCGAATTTTGCATTTTGAGACTTACAGAGGAATGGGTTGACAAATAGCTGACGATTAATTGGATCTGCTAAATATGGGCACCAATGAAGTGTGCCCACCAGAATGCATCTCTACACCTCCGTTCACACAAATCACTTCCTCTGGAAAGGCGCCCGTGGTAAAAGTAGGCATATGGGAATGATTCACTTGGGGAAAGTTGTACCCAGAATATCAAAACAGTTTGCTTTCTGTCGCTATATTCTTGCCATAATTTTTCTACCCAAAGGAACCACCTGCTATTATGGCTGTGACACCTGAAAAGCTTTCTGTATATTGCAGGAGATTGCTCATGTGTGGGTGGGTTTTCAGGCTGTTCAGTGGTATTTTAAAAAATAGTTCTTTGGGGAAAATATTCTCAGAGACTGGAACATTGCCTTGTCTTATCAAAATTGCTCTGTAGTCATGTTCACAAATACCTTCAAACATTGAGCTACAGATGGAATTCAGTAGAAGACATACTGAGCTAATTTCCTTTGTGTGACATTACCCAGAGAAATCAAGCTGTCAGTATCCTGAAGAACAAGCCCTCAAAGTGAGATGGTGGCCAAAGCCATAGGAAGCAGAAATGATTGAAGGGCTTGCCCTTCAAAACCTTCTTCCCATTCTCCCAAATTCATCTTTTCCAATTAAAATTTATTACAAAAAAAAAACCAAATAGACTCAGCTTGTCTGACTTGGGATGGTTGTACACTTATAGTAAAGATGGTAAATATTGGGCTGAAAAAAATCCTGGATCCTAGATCTTTCTTGATATTCCAGAATATATTCATAAAAGAGAATTACTGAAAGAGAGTTTTAGGCATACAGAATTTCATACTTTGGGCGAACTAGAGACAGTCATTTCTAAGTTATGCCTTTGCTTTATCAAACTTTAGTTCAATCATTTAACAAATATTTAATGAGCATCTCTTTTGTGTGAACACTATTGTGAGTGTTACGCAGTGAACAAAGCATTTTTAAAAAAATTCTTTCTTCTATGCCTTCCCACAGTGCCTAGGCCAAAAAGCTAAAAGTGGGCTGGGTGCAGTAGCTCATGCCTGTTAATACCACACTTTGGGAGTCCAAGACAGGAGGATTGCTTGAGCCCAGGAGTTCGAGACCATTCAGGGCAACAAAGTGAGACCCCAGTCTCTAGAAAAAATCAAGAAATTAGTGGGGCATGGTGAGATGCACATGTGGTCCCAACTACATGGGAGGCTAAGGTGGGAGGAAGGTCTGAGCCCAGAAGCTCAAGGCTGCAGTGAGCCATGTTTGCACCAATGCATTCCAGCCTAGGCAACAGAGCAAGACCCTGCCACAAAAAATAAACATAAAAAATAAAAAAGCTAAAAAGATTCTCTTGCAGCTAGGGGTTTATATAATTTACTTTTTGCTAGTTATATGCATTTGCATAAGTCTTGATTTCAGAACAAACTTCAGTGGGGAAAAGGTGGTCACAGCACTTTATCCATTTTGCTATCTAAAATTGATCTGTGGTATGATTCTGAAGCCAACAGACTTGTGGAGACTTCCTGATGTCCAGAGCATGACTAAGATAGTGTGTTTCTGAAGCTAGAAAGTGGTTGATGGCTTCTTGATCCTTAGCTTCCAGACTATGGTAGGAGCAGCGATTCTTCTAACAGGCCAGTTCTGCGGTGTTATTCTGTGAGTCATTCCTGGAGGCCACATTTACAGCCTGCCCCACCAACCCTCCAATGGTTTTGCAATCCCTAAATTTAGTGACATTTCAGTTATCTCTTGCTGTGTAATAAGCACCCCAAAAACTTAGTTTGGCTGGGCAATTCTGCTGATCCTGCCTGGCCCCACATATGTGGGTGTATTCAGCTGTCAGTGGCCCTACTTTGTCTCACTCGCATGTCTAGGATTTTGGCAGGGATGCCTTGAAATGTTGAGACCTCTCTCTCCTATGGTCTCTCATCATTCAGTAATCTAGCCTGAGCTTCCTTACAGGATGGCTGCTTTCTTCTAAGAGGGTGAGAGTGGGAGCCGCAAAGCCTCTTAAGGCTAGGTCTGGAAGTGACACAGCATCAGTTCTGCCTCTTTCCATTGGTCAGAATTAAACCGAGGGCTAGCCCAGATTTACAAGAAGAGAAAAATAGACTTCATCTCTTTATGGGAGTTGTGGCAATTGCAAAAAGGTGTGTGAAACAGGAACGATTTTTGTAACATCAATCTACCACAACTGTTTTGAATCCTTTTCTGCTTCAAATAGCTAGAATGGCTTCTGTTATCTGCAAATGAACTCTGGCTGATACAGAAAACATGCAGTGGGACCAGATAAGAGGCTGCTATCAGAAGTGTGTACATTAGCTGATAAATGAGACTTACCAGCCCGTTTCTGGATTATTGTCAGTTTCTTTACTGACGATACCCTATTCCATCCCAACGTGTCCTTGTTTGAATTGATTGAAATCTTTCATTTATTTCCACTAATGCCAAATGTGTAGCTGTGAGTATACAATATAATATATCAAGTCTATAATATAATATATATTATATAATCAAAACATCATATTTTGATAGCAGCCTCCTATCTGGTCTTCGAGATAGAGGAAGATTTGGGGCATATTTTGAAAGTAGAGCTGACAGTACTCTGATGGATTGGAAATGAATATGAGAGAAAGTGAGGAAGATGCCAAGGATGCAGTCAACAGTGACTTCAAGGTTTTATGGTAATCATGGTGCTATTTATGGAGATGAAGAAGGACAAGTTTGGAGAGAAAATTCAAGAGTTTGTTTTTGAATATGCCTATTAAATGTCAATCAGGCAGTAGGGTATAGGATTCTGGAGTTTTAGGGAAGAGGTGTGGGCTGTAGATATAAATTTGAGAGCCATCTGCATACAAAAAGACATTTAAATATGAGAGACTTGATTTGATTAACAAGGGAGAGGTGTAGGGAGGGAGATACTGAGCACAGCACTGTTTAGACTATGGAAGATAGATGAGTAGGCTCCATTTCAGTGTATACAGGAATCCCTGGAGACACTTGCTAACAATGTAGATTCCAGGGTCCTAGTCCCATAAATTCCGATTCAGGTCTAATATTGAGGCCTGGCAATCTGCATTGTCAACAATGCAGCTTATCCTGAAGTGGTTAATCTGGGAATATCCTTTGAAAAACACTGAAATAAACTACCAACATCTATGAAAACATTTACGGGTGCTTAAATTTCAGGATGTTTCTTTTCTTTCTCCCCATTTCCTCTCATCCATTATGCATGAAAGACTTCTGCAAGATGCCAAGAGGGGAACTTGGGCTTTTTCTTTTTTCCAATTGCCTTTTACAGAGTGATGGAAAGTTAACTACGAACTCCTGCGGGGAAAAGAAGAGACGATCTAGGCCTAAAAATCGTGTCTACTCTCCAAGAGAGGTATATTCTCCTTTAAACACCCAATTTGATGCCCAGTGGTAACACTTTATGAAGCAAGACCAAGAGCAAAGTCAACATTTCTTTGTTCCTTAATTATAAGCAGCATGTGCACCTTGCATATCTCAGCAAGTGATAAACAGTCATACTCCCCCAAATACTGAATGGAGGGTTGAGAAGATTAGATGAAAAACAAATGCTTAACAGCCTGCTGTAGATTTTGCTTTCCTATCTCTCAAAATTAATGCTGATTAAGCCTCTGTAAAGGGAAAATGCCCCTCCCTGTTTATACCATCATTTATACAAGACTGAATTCTTATTGACAGTGAACCTGTATTTCTAAAATATATAAATATGAAAATATGTTCACTCCTATCTAGTCTGAGATTGTGAATCAAATGTTGTGTTGGTGGTAAAATTCTACAGACATAGTCTCCTCTTTTGCAGTTCAGTGGTTGCAAGAGGGCCTGAAGCTGCAGTAGCCATGTGCTGTAATAATGATTGCATTGATTAAGTGCCAATTACTTCTGGAGACTTTTCAAAGGCCTCTGCTGCAGAGTTGAAACTAGGCTTTCTGTCTGATATTAGATACATCTCTAATGCTAGGTGATGGCTGGTTTGGGATCTCTGGCAATTACTTCTGTCATGTACTTTAATCAACAGCGTGCCTACTATTATAACAAGTCCCCACACCCACTGTGAAGCATTACTCAGACTCTCTTTCCCTTAACCCCCACCCTGCTCACATGAACCTGAGCTTCTGATCCATAGATGATTAAGTTGCTCTGGTGAATCACCCTCAGTGGGATGGGGCAGGCTTCCAACCAGAGCCAGATCTTTACCACAACCAAGTGCTTGTCTGGAGGGATGATGAATCCTACGGGCCCAGCCAGAGGTCAAATTACCTGTCTAGCTATTCTGCTGGGTATCAGTCTTCTGGTAGGCATCCTATTTAGCACATGCTTCCATTAGCAAATATTTAGGAAGGACCTATGCTTGCATATAGTTCCCCGAAAAATTATTTGCAACTAAGTTTTGGATCTAATCACCATCATTGGCTGATTTTGCCACCATCTTTGAAATAGTTGGCAGACTGTGATAGAACATTGATGGACTGAAAGTTGAGCTAAAAGAGTGACTAAGTCACCAACTTGCTGTGTGACCTTGGGCATTTATTTCAAAACAAGGGGATTGTGCAATACATTTTCTGAGATCCCGTCCAACTCTAGCACTCGGTGGATTAATTTCATTTTTGCAGTGAGCTTCTTATTCATTTGCCAGAGGCAATTGAACTAATTCACTAGGGCTGCCATTCAAAGTTCTTCAAACTGGGTGACTTAAGCAACAGAAATTTATCTTCTCACAGTTCTGGAGGCTGGGAACCCAAGATCGAGGTATTAGCAGAGTTGGTTCTTTCTGAGGGAAGTGAGGAAGGAATCCATTCCAGGCTGCTCTCCTTGGCCTGTAGAGGGCCATCTTCATCTTCATATGGTGTTCTTCCTTTGTGAGCATCTGTCTCCAAATTTCCCCTCTTTATAAGGATAGCAGGCATATTGGAGTAGAGATGCCCTAATGACCTCATTTTAACTTGATTACCTCTATAAAGACCCTATCTCCAAATAAGGTCACATTCTGAGGGACTGAGGGTTAGCACTTCAACATATGAATACTTGGGGGACACAATTCAACCCATAACAAAAAGTAAGTATTAAATATAGGTAAGGAATAAAGAATAATGCCTTGGTAGCCTTTAAGGCTGGTAACTGACAGGGACATGGTCAGCCAGCAAGTAAGCATAGATTGTCAAATTTATGTTGTAACTCTAATGGCTTAAAGCTACATTAACACTAATTTTATCTCCACATATGGATATTGTGTAAGAGTCAGCTCTGAATTCTCTTCTACCTGAAATTTTTCAGCGTCGCCCTGCTTTCCAGTGTTATTTCATCTGTTTTTATAATTGGATGTGAAACTTCTTGAGAAAGGGTCCTATGACTCTTTAACCAATTATTGTTCAAAGGAGTCCCCAAAGTGTTAAGCAGGTAGGTCATTGTTTAATTAAATGACTCTGTTGAGGTTTGAGTGTGTTTGGCCCTCAGAGGATATAATTATAAGTAGAATATGCTTTCTTGTGCTGATATGGGTCTCCTGATTATATAATGTTATTTATATATTAAGAAGAGAGAAAAGGAATGCATTAGATTTTGATGACTTACAGCTACACATCTGGCATTAATGGAAATAAATGAAAGATTTCAATCAATTCAAACAAGGACACTTTGGGATGGAATCGGGTATCGTCAGTAAAGAAACGGACGATAATCCAGAAACGATAATCCAGAAACTGACTGGTAAGTCTCATTTATCAGCAAATGTACACCCTTCTGATCACTGATCTCTTTTCCAGAGTCTCTCTAGCCTGGAAATCCACTAGGTGGAGCAAAGGATCAGGAATTAGCTGCCCAAGAGCTCTCACAAGCAAATATCAACCAGTACTGCAACTATACCTTTTCCTCTATAAAACCTAGACAAAGGCTGGGGGAAAATTGAGTTTCTGAAGCTGCTTGAGATCAAATGTTCCCTGTTCATTAAAATGGACAGTAGCTCAAGGAATAAAGAAACTCAGATTTGCTGAGCTGGACATGATTACTAAATACACAGGAGGCACACCCATCTTGGACTATTTCCCCATGGCTTGGCTCTCATTACATATTTCCTTTCTGCTTTCATTGGTGGCAGATGGAATTTGGGATAGACTTCTTATCCAAGCTCCTGTATTCGAAATATCCTGTGCTTAGATCATACATCTTTTTCCCGCCTACTCTAGGCATCCCAAAGTTCTGGTATCAACCTGGTTTCTATTTAAATATATTCTCTTTGATTCCTGGCCCTTGGATTCTAACATTTCCTTCCTTGGATTCCAATCTTGTCTTTTTTTCTGCACTTATGTGTCGGTTAGCTGAGCAGAAGCCAGGTTCTTATTTGAGGATTTTTAAGGTGTAAAAGGAGACTGTCCTTGTTTCCCTATCAGTTCTTTGTCCCTTGTGCAAAGTGTACTCTGTCTGCCTTTGCATTCAAACTGCAGTTGTTAACTGTCCTATATCTCAGTCAAAATCTGCTACCAATAGAAGGCATGGTTCATTACAATCATCATTCCATAACACGCAAGTCCAAACACTTGCAGAGGGAAACTTGAGGTAGGAGGTAAATTCCAAATCCAAAGTTATTGTTTTTCATGGCTATGACTCTGTGGCAGGATAATCTATTGAAATATTAATTTCTTTGTCCACTTTCCGTACTTTCTCTACCCCTTTGATCTAAGTGAGTTAGGTAGGCCCTTAGTAATTTCTTACCTTAGAGATATTTTGCAGAATGATCTAGCTGTCTGTAGATAAAACCTGAACTCAATGAAGATAGTATTATCAATGTCTTTGAAGGCAGCAGGAAAAGGAAAGGAGAAAATTTCCCAAGAATATAAGGAAGTTTTCAGTCTATGGGTGAGGGTGAGTAGGACTACACATGGCCGCAGGAGAGTACTGGACTGCAATGGACATGTCAGTGGTAACCAGTATGTATTGACAACTGGCAGGATCTCTGCCAGGCTTTGGTGCCATGTAAGATTCCAGGACCTTGCAAAACCCTTGCAGTGGAGAGTCCAAATAATGACTGAGATTACAATTTCTGCCAATCAAGCTGGATGGGGACTCAGAGTCAGAGTTAAGTAGGTGAAAAGCAAATGAAGAAGTGAGATATTTCTTGTACATCTGAGTTTATCTGAGTTTCCTATTGACTGCACTCAATTAAGAGTTCATCATGGAGGTCTGTGACCTCAGAGCAGTATAGAATGGTGGGTAAAGTATGGTCTCTGGAAACAGGCTGCCTGGGTTCAAATCTGAGCTCTGCTACTGATTAGGTATGAATCCTTGTACAAGTTATTCAGCCTCTCTCTACCACAGGTTTCCCCCTGTGAAGTGGGGATGATAATAGTACGTATCTTACAAGGTTGTGGTTGAAAAATCAGTACCTGACATATAGCAAAATTGAATGTAAACTGTTATTTCTATAGGGTTTTTTGCATCACTATAACGGTTGTTGAAATTTAAATTAATTTTTAAAATACACAATACACACAAATGGTACAAAAGGTTTTGAAAGAGATACAATGAAAGATAAAGGTGTACAACAAAAAATTGTTCCCTAATTTTCCTCCCCAGATGCAACCTGTGTCACTAATTGTATATTAAACAAATGAAACTCCTTACATATGTTTCTGTACCTTCCCCCTCTTAACAATACATTGTGAAAATTGTTCTTTGATAGTATTCCATTATATCGATATATTCTAGATTATTAACTTATCGAACTAGTCTTCCTCATGGACTGGTTTTTTACTCTTACAAATAATACTGCAATAAAATCTTTGTACCTACATCTTTGAGCATGTCTGGAATATCTGTGGGATAAGTTCCTAAAAGTAGAATTACTGAATTCAAGGCTCTGTACATTATAAAATCTGATAGATACTGTCAAATTGCCCTCCATACAGCAAATTATACTCCCGAGGCCAAGGCGGGCGGATCATGAGGTCAGGAGTTTAAGACAAGCCTGGCCAACATGGTGAAACCCCATCTCTACTGAAAATACAAAAATTAGTCGGGTGTGGTGGCAGGAGCCTGTAATCCCAGCTACTCGGGAGGCTGAGTCAGAAGAATCGCTTGAAACTGGAAGGTGGAGGTTACAGTGAGCTGAGATCGTACCACTGCACTCTAGCCTGGGCAACAAGAGTGAAACTCCATCTCAAAAAAAAAAAAAAGAATGCCAGCGGAGGAGGTTGCTCACTTTTCTGATGTTTGCCAATCTGTTAAGTCCTCTTATAATTTGTATTTGCATTTATCTTAATAATGAGATTGAACATATTTTTCATATTTTAAAATCGCATTTCTATTTCCTTTTTGAGAAACAATCTGCTATAAAAAGCATTGTTCAGAAGTGACAATAATATATCTGATGGTTATATGAAGATCCTTCTAATCTCATCACCAGGAAAATATGTTTCTGCCATCAAAAGCTTCCTGACAGTTCCGTTATGTGATGTACTCTGAATTCTTTGTGGTTATCCCTCAACTCCACTGCACCAGGGAGCTAAGAGAAGATTTTTGTTTTAGTATATCTGGTAGTGAAAGGCACTCAGGGATCAAAGGATGAAAGTGATAAGATGCTTCCTTGGACACAGTCTTAGATGCAGTCACTTCCTCAGAGAATATGGAGAATCCAAAAGCAAAAGAACTTGAATGAATCTTTGCAACCAAGACACCCCAGTAACATCTTTCAGAGGTGAGAGAAGCAGAATCAAATTTTTAAAAATGTCTGAATAATTTAAAAATGATTACCTTGTGCTGTTATACCTACTACAGTTTTTCTGTGAAAGTGAAAAATAAGTGAAATGAGAATGGTTCAATCAAATGTCAGCCATTTATCAAAAGAACCTCAGGGAAACCATAAGCTCCTTTTTCTAGGCTGTTATCTAGAAAGGGAGAGACACCAGGAGAGCTGCACAGTCAGAGCTAACAATAATGCAAGGAAGAAGGAAAAAAATGATCAGAGGGGGCTGTTCTGTCTGACACATAACTATTTCTTTTCCAGGAAGGAAACAGTGCTAACTAGGAAGCCAAATCCAAATTTAGAGATTTAATTAATTTTCCATTTGAAAGTTACAGTTAGGATAATCAGTGTCTACTTGTGGGACACCCTCTCTGCCACCCTAAGCATCAGCACACCTGTGTGTGTAATTGACCTAGAAGGTGGGCTGTTATTCCAACCATAAGATGGATAGAATCTAAAATTTTGGGTATCATCTAGTTCATCATTTTACAGATGCAGGAATCTAAGATGAGAGTCAAGTGGCTTCTCCAAGTCTACGCTGTGGAGAGTGGATACCACTGCTGAAAGGGAAATGTAAGCCCTTCACCTCATCATACTGTAGCATAGGGCTCTTTGCATCAGTAAAACCAGCTATGTGGCTTCTGCAGGGTTCCTATTCAAATATATGTTTACATATAAATCTATATTAGTCTGCCGGGTTGCTGATAGCAAAATACCAACAAACAACACACCAATACCAAAATATCAACAAATACCAACAACAAACAAAATACCATAGACAAAATGTCTGTTAAACAACACACATTTAGTTCTCACAGTTCTGTAGGTTGGGAAGTCCAAGATAAAGGTGCTGACAGCTTCAGTTCCTGGTAAGGGCTCTCTTCCTGGCTTGCAGTCAGCTGCCTTCTTGCTGTGTCCTCACAGGACATAGAGAGAGCCCTGGTGTATCTCTCTCTCTCTCTTGTTTTTTCTTTCATTTTGAGACAGTCTTGCTCTGTCACCCATGCTGGAGTGCACTGATGAGAACCATAGCTCACTGCAGCCTCAACCTCCCGCCTCAGCCTCCCAAGTAGCTGAGACTATGGGTGTGTGCCACCACACTGGGCTAATTTTTTATTTTTATTTTTATAGAGATGGCGTCTCACCATGTTGCCCAGGCTGGTCTCAAACTCTGGGCTCAAGCGATCCTCCTGCTTTGGCCTCCCAAAGTGCTGAGATTACAGGCAAGAGCCACTGCACCTGACTCTTTCTCTTCTTAAAAGGGCACTAATCCCCATCACGAGTCTCCCACCTTCATGATCTCTTCTAAATCTAATTATTTCCCAAATGCCCCATCTCCAGATACCATCACGTTGGCAGTTAGGGCTTCAACATATGAATTTGGGAGGGGAGGGAACACAATTCATTCCATTGCTCTTCCTCTGTGTGTATTCGTTGTTGTTGTTGGCCTCCTCCCCCAAGGAAGAAAGCTCCACAGATTTCGTCTGTTTCACTGACTTTAGTATACTCATCAGCCAAAACAGCAGCCACACCTATATTCAATAAACATTTATTGAATGAATGGATTTACTGAGTGCTTGCTCTATGCCATACACTGTCCTAAGCACTTTAGATTAACTTTTAGAATCCTTATAATGGCCTTATAAGCTAGGTACTATTGCTCCCTTCATTTATACATGAGGAAACTCAGACACGGAGGGGTTAAATAGTTGCCCTGGTTTCATAGGAGACAGAGCCAAGGTTGTGAAATAAGGCAGCCTAGCTCCTTAGCTCATTTTCTTTTCTTTTCTTTTTTTTTTTTTTTGAGGTGGAGTTTTTGCTGTTGTTGCCCAGGCTGGAGTGCAAGGGTGCGATCTCAGCTCATTGCAACCTCCGCCTCTCAGGTTCAAGCAATTCTCCTGCCTCAGCCTCCTAAGTAGCTGGGATTACAGGCATGCACCACCACCCCCAGCTAATTTTGTGTTTTTAGTGGAGGCAGGTTTTCACCATGTTGGTCAGGCTGGTCTCGAACGCCTGACCTCAGGTGATCCACCCGCCTCGGCCTTCCAAAGTGCTGGGATTACAGGCATGAGCCACCGCACCCGGCCCTTTAACTCATTTTCTTATCCATTACACGATGCACAGAGTATTATTTTCCCCCAAAGCTACTAGGAGGTTCCTATAGAGTTTAAAATTTGCATAAATGTAAAGTACAATGTTGGCTAATGTGTTGGCTTTTTTCCCTAATATTTCATAGTTTCTAGAAATGTTTCTGATTATAATACCTAAATTCTTGCATATAAAAGCTATCCTGGTGAGGACAGTGTTTCCCCTGCACTGTTGTTATCCAGGCTTATATTCTAGGTGTGTATTACTGGGTCTAGTCCTGTGTTTCTGGTAGCCAGGGGACAGGTTCCCTCCTACTCAGATCCTTCCTAACACAGTATTACCATTGACTTATTTTTCCATTCTCAGAGGCTGCTCATCGTTGTAAAAAGTGATAATAAGTAAGGTTATTCATGGCACATGGACTTGGGGTGGGGGCAGAGGGCGGTGGAGAAGATCTTTAGAGGTGTACCAATAGCAAAACATGATACAGCTGTGTTTTGAGATAAAATGTCATCTTACTGGTCAGGATGGAAATTCCAAGAATATTAAATAAATTTCAAGTTTACTCTGGGTTGGGCACTTTTATATTTTATGTTATAATTCTTACTTAACCTTGAGATGTGGGTATGGAAAAGAAGCTGACGGCTCATAGCTAATAAGAGGAAGAACCGGAATTTGAAACCACGTCTGTGTGACTTCAGATGTCTGCCATTTCACTGGCCTGTTATTGCCTTCTTTCCAGGGAGAGCACCATCCCCTAAAAAAGTGAGATGGCAACGCACCTCATCCACTCTTTCAGGTAAGTATTTGCAGTTCTTAGGGATAGGAAGTGTGTGTGACCAAATCAGGAAGCGAATTATGCTACCATCATATCACAATCTGATCAAAAAGTAAAATTCATCAATGTACCTGTCATATCTCTAACCAATCTCCAATTCTTTTCTGTAGCAACTGCATAGACTCTCTCTCTCTCTCTCTCCCCACCCCCCCAGCATTGAATGGTTATCCCAGACTGAAGTGCAGTAGCACAATCATAGTTCACTGTGTCTTCGAACTCCTGGGCTCAAGCAGTCCTCTAGCCTCAGCCTCCAGAGTAGCCAGGAATACAAGCATGAGCCACCATGCCCAGCTAGTTTTTATTTTTTGTAGAGATGGGGGGTCTCACTATGTTGTCCAGGCTGGTCTTGAAATCCTGGTTTCAAGCAATCCTCCAGCCTCAGCCTCCCAAAGTGCTGGGCCCTTTTTTTTTTCCTTTTTTAATAGCTTTATTGAGATAACTTACATACCATAAAGTTCACACATTTAAAGCGTACAACTCAATGGTTTTTAAGTATATTTAAAGAATTGTGCATCATCACTGTAATCTAATTATAGAATATTTTCATCACTCCCCAAAGAAATTGTGTACTCATTAGCAGTCATTCCCCAGTCACCACCTCCTGAGCCCTAGACAACCACTAATCTATTTTCTGTCTTTAGATTTGCCTATTCTGAAGATTTCCTATAAATGGTTTCATGCGTTATGTGGTCTTTTTGTGACTGATTTCTTTGACTTAACATGATGTTTTTGAGGTTCATCCACATTGTGGCATATATCAATACTATATTTCTTTTTGTTGCCTGCAAAGTCTCCTTTTAAAAAACGCTTCCTTTACCCATAAATGAGTTTTGAGTTTGGGCTGACCTCTCCAGTGAGCCCAGCCTTGACCAGAGCCTGTTTCCTGGCGAACCAGCTTCCACATGTGACAAGGACAACGTCAGAACAGGACAGACCAACCTTGGGTTCCTTTCCTGGCCGCTGCCAGTAGAAATCCCAGAATTTCTTCGAAGGACAAGGTGTGGCTCTGTAGATGGCAGGCAGGGAATGACATCAGGATCTGTCGTGGCAGGGGCCAATGGCACCAGCTCCTCACTCTGTTTTGTTTTTGTTTTGTGTCGAGTTTAGATTTTTAGATTAAAGGTTTTTACTCAAAAGCTGCTTCTCCTCCGAAAACCATTTGAAACTTTATACAGCTGGCTGGCTCCAGAAGTTTCTGCAACCAGAAAGCTTGATTCTGCTGCCACCTGCTGTCTGAAGCCAGAAACAACTTTGGATAAGAGACCTTGTTCAGAACATGTTCGAATAAGGCATGAGTTGCAGTTCTGAAAAGGCTTTTTCCCAATGCTATGCTTATATATTTAGGTCTCTTCTTTATGTCTGTATTTTTCTGTTTTCTGTCCAAACGTTCTGATCCCTTGAAAACCCACCAAAAGAGTGTTCCACTAAAGCTTTGTCAATATGAAAAGACCCATACAAGCTTTTTTCCTTTCTTTAATCCGGCCTCAGGTGCTACGATTGTTCATTTCTTTGCTTCTTTCCCTCTCTTACGTCCTTCTTGCCTTTCATAGGCATTTGTTTAGTGTTTATTATGTAGTAGTTTTTGTGAGGGCTGTGAAGGTATAAAATGTGAAAGACTTGGGTGATTGCCTTAGAAGAAATTACACTCTGGGTGGTGGTTATGCCCAGATAGCCAGGATGGCCTGCTGAGCAGTGAATCCCCTAGACTTTTTTCTATGAAAAAAAGGCATAATTCTGCACATATTTTTTACTTTTTTTTTAATCTTAAAATACTTTTTGGCGATCCTTCCATGCCACACAAATCTATTCCACTTTATATAGAATTTCTCTGTATTTATGAATCATGGTGAATTAAACCTTTCCCCTATCAGTGGGCATTGAGATCATCACTGTTTTACTTTTACAAACAATGCGTAAGGGAACTTCCTTGTACATGTCTCTTGGAGGTACATTTCTAAATATTTCTTTAGGATACACACCTGGAGGTAAACTTACTGAGGCAAAGGTATCTATGTTTTTCATTGTAATAGATACTGCTAAATCATTCTTTTCAAAAAGCTGTCCAATTTACGCCTCCACCATCAGATTCAGATTTCCCATTTACACACAGCAAGATGGACACTTTATATTTTCAGGCTTTAGTTTCGGCCAATCTGATGAATAAAAATTGGTATTTCATTGTTTTAATTTGTCTTTACCTGCGTACTTAATAAGATTAAGAATATATTTTCATATTTTTATTGGTTATTTGTATTTTCAATTAATTGTTGATATCTTTTGCTCACTTTTTGTATATTGGTTTGTCTTTTTTTCTTATTGACTCTTAAGGTGCTCTCTATATATTCTGGAATTTTTTTTTTTTTTTTTTTTGAGATGGAGTCTTGCTCTGTCGCCCAGGCTGGAGTGCAGTGGCACGATCTCGGCTCACTGCAAGCTTCGCCTCCTGGGTTCACGCCATTCTCCTGCCTCAGCCTCCCAAGTAGCTGGGACTACAGGCGCCTGCCACCATACCTGGCTAATTTTTTATATTTTTAATAGAGACGGGGTTTCACCGTGTTGGCCAGGATGGTCTCGATCTCCTGATCTCGTGATCCGCCTGCCTCGGCCCCCCAAAGTACTGGGATTACAGGCGTGAGCCACCGCATGTCCTATTGTGGATTTTAATTCATTGTTGGGTTTGCTGCAGAATGGGCACTGTATGTACAATTTCTTGTTCTCACAGCAACCACGGAAGGTAGGTTTTGTCATCCTTGTGAAAGAATTGTCCTATCTGAGCCTAAATGTCCACTGGGCATGTGGGGCATGTGATCACCCCTGTCCCAAGCATATATTTGTATGATCTGATGGACAAGAGACTTTTGTGTGTGCACATATGCATGTGCATGTGTGTGTGTGTGAGTGTAAGAATGGACAAAGTTCCAGTACAGGTGTCTTGGAGGCAGTGGGAAGAAGAGAGGGAGGGAAGGGAGAATGGAAGAAGAGAAGGGAGAATGGAATGGTGTGGTGCCTAGTCTCCCAGCCCAGCCTCAGTTTGGTAGAGGGAGCTGTTGGGGCGTCAGGGGCAGGCAATGGTGTTTTAGGGCCCAGGTGACAAAGCACAGTGCAAAGTGGGAGGAGAGGCATTTTTCCTGTTTCTCCTAGAACACAGCAGAACCACTTGGCAGGCCTGCTGAGCAGCAGCAGTGAAGTGTCAGGAAGGTGCCTCCTCCTGGCAGGCATGGCAGCAGTGACAGTAGCCAGGGGTCCTCCCCAAATATCTTGTCGAGAGAACGTGAGCATCTATGAGAGACTTCCTCTAGGCACCTAGAAATAACAGAGGAGATTCTGTGGTTATGCAGCCAGGAATCAATTGGTCAGCATATTCTTGTGCTGGCCTGTTACCCATGGGCATAGGTGGCCCTGGAACATTTAGCTTACATGTATGGGAGGACATTGAAGCCCAGAGAGTTTAGGTAACTTGCCCAAAGTCTTCTAGCAAATAAGTATTGAAGAAGCCAAACGTCCTACATCTTTGTAACTTTTTTAAAAATTAAAAAGTAAACTTTAATGTCGAAAATGCAAACTGTAACCTTTCAAATATGGCTCCCAAGAGGGATCATCAAGCAAAATCAGAAGACATGATTTCTTGAATATTTTTATGAAGCTGGACCTGAAAAGGATAAAGCATTGACAGATTCTGTGTTAAAATCAACTCCCCACAACAGGACATGTAAAGTCCCAGGAGGCCCATTAGGGGAAAGTGTCACAATTCCAGATTTTTTATGGCTGTGCTGTAGAAGAGGCCTTCCCCACCCACTCTACCAGTCAAGCTGGGACTCCTGCCTCTGCAGGTCACAGGGAAATCAAGCTCAATTAGACTTTCCCCCAGATTCATTCAGATCCAGATGTTATCAAGACCCAAAGATTAAATGCACCAGGCTTGATTCAGAAATCTCATAGATCACTCATTCAACCTGTCAACCAACAATCACCGAGTTTCAAGGTCTCAGGCACTGTCCTAGGCTTGAGAAGGATAAATAGATAAAACCTACTGGTTCTGCCTCAAGAATTTTACAGTCCAGTGAGGGAGGCAACAGATAAATGGATATTTACAGCTCAGCAGTAAGTGCTATGAAGAGGGGAGCCCAGGACCATGAGATCCTAGAGGAAGGTCAGGTAATGAAAATTGGGGAGAGGTCATTTAAAAAAAAAATCTTTTGTTTTTTTTGAGATGTAGTTTCACTCTTGTTGCCCAGGCTGGGGTGCAATGGCGCAATCTCAGCTCACTGCAACCTCCAACTCCAGGGTTCAAACGATTCCCCTGCCTCAGCCTCTGAATAGCTGGGATTACAGGCGTGCGCCACTATGCCTGGCTAATTTTTGTATTTTTAGTAGAGACGGGGTTTCGCCATGTTGATCAGGTTGGTCTCGAACTCCTGACCTCAGGTGATCCACCCACCTCGGCCTCCCAAAGTTCTGGGATTACAGGCGTGAGCCACTGTGCTCAGCCAAAAAATTTTTTAAATTGTGTATACTTGAGGTTTACAGCACAATGTTATGGGATACATATAAATAGTAATATGGTTACAGTTATGAAGCAGATTAATGTTTCTATCATCTCAAATAGTTACTTTTTTGTGACAAGGGCAGCTAAAATCTACTTATTTAACACAAATTCCCAATATGATACAGTTTTTTTTAACTTTAGTCTTCATGTTGGACCTTAGATGTGGAGACTTTTCATATTTCGTATCCTTTGACTTACAGTGCCTCATTTCCTCTCCCCACCACCCAATCATGGTAACCACCGTTTCATTCTCTCTGTGTATTTGAGCTCTTTTTAAAATGCCATGTATAAGTGAGGTCATGCAATGTTTTTCTCTCTGTATCTGGATTATTTCACTTAGCCTAATGTCCTCCAAGTCCACCCATGTTGTGGCAAATGACAGGGTCTCCTTTTCTTTTTTTAAGACTGCATAATATTCCATTGTATGGGGGGAGCTTCAAAAGGTTCACGGAAAAATGGAATTAAAAGATAAAAATTGAAAATATAAACTATTTCTCAACATAATCTCCATCAAGTTCAAGATGCTTTTGAAAGCAATGATACCAGCCATTTAGTCCATCTCTGAAGAACTGAGGGTCTTGGGAATTTAACCACATCAATGCAGTCGTTTTTACATTATTAACTGAAGAAAAATGGGTGTACCTTATAGGGTTTTTTTAAGAATAGGAAACCAAAAAATGTCAGAAGAAGCCAAATCAGGACTGTAAGGTGGATGCCTAATGATTTCCCAATGAAACTCTAAAAAGATTATCCTTGTTTGATGAGAGAAATGAGCAGGGACATTGCCATGGTGGAGAAGGACTCTATGGTGAAGCTTTCCCAGGGAATTTTCTGCTAAAGCTTTGGCTAACTTTCTCAAAACACTCTCATAATATGCAGATGTTACTGTTCTTTGGCCCTTCAGAATGCCAACAAGCAAAATGCCTTGAGCATCCCACAAAACTGTTGTCATGACCTTTTCTTTTGACCAATGCACTTTTGCTTTGACTCGACCATTTCCACCTCTTGGTGGCCATTGCTTTGGGCTTTGTCTTCAAGATCGTACCTGTAAAGCCATGTTTCATCTCCCATTACAATTGTTTTGCTTTAGGAGCTTGATGTCACTTCTTTAAAATTTGGATTGAAAGCTCTGCTCTTGCCTGCAGCTGATCTGGGTGCAACGGTTTTGGCACCCATTGCGTGGAAAGTTTATTCAACTTGAATTTTTCAGTCAGATTTACGTAAGTGGAACCAGTTGAGATGTCTCTGGTGTTGGCTATTGTTTTTGCTGTTAGTCATCAATTCTCTTCAATTAGGGCATGAACAAGATTAATTTTTCCCTTGAAAATTGATGTGGATGGTCTGCCACTATGGGCTTCATCTTCAACATTGCCTCATCTGTTTTTAAAACAAGTTATCCATTTGTAAACTGCTGATTTCTTTGGGGATTGTTTCCATAAACTTTTTGTAAAGAATCAGTGATTTGATCATTCTTTCACAAAAGCTTCACCATACATTTGATGCTTGTTCTTGCTTCAATTTTAGCAGAATTCATGTTGCTCCGACAGGGGACTCTTTTCAAACTGATGTGTTGTCCTTAGTGTCTCTAACTAGATCCTGACCAGACATGTTATAAACAAGTTAGTACTAGTTTATTTTGTTGTGAACAATTTTGAAATCCATACATAGTGTTTTCTTTCTTTGTTTGTTTTTTTGTTTTTGTTTTTTTTTTTTGAGACGGAGTCTTGCTCTGTCGCCCAGGCTGGAGTGCAGTGGCGCGAACTCGGCTCACTGCAAGCTCCGCCTCCCGGGTTCACGCCATTCTCCTGCCTCAGCCTCCGGAGTAGCTGGGACTACAGGCACTCGCCATCACGCCCGGCTAATTTTTTTTGTATTTTTTAGTAGAGACATTGTTTCACCGTGTTAGCCAGGATAGTCTCGATCTCCTGACCTCATGATCCGCCCGCCTCGACCTCCCAAAGTGCTGAGATTACAGGCCTGAGCCACCGCGCCCGGCCACATAGTTTTTTGTTTTTTTTTTATAATACAGACTTTCCATGAACTTTTTGAAAATACCTTGTATGTACACCACAAAACCCATTTTCTTTATCCATCCTAAATGTCAATGGGCACTTAGTTTGTTTCCTTATCTTGGCTATTGTGAATAACATAACAATGAACAGGGGAGTGCAGACATGTTTACAAGGTGATAATTTCCTCTCCTTTGGGAATATACTCAGGAAAGGGATTACTGCATCATATGGTAGTTCCATTTTTAATTTATTTAGGAACCTCCATACTGTTTCCTATAATGACTGTACCAATCTACATTCCCACTAACAGTGTACTGTGGACCTGAAACCATAAAACTCCTAGAAGAGAACACAGGGGAAAAACCTCTCGACATTTGCCTTGACAATGATTGTTTTTTGAAACGGAATCTCTCGTTCTGTCACCCAGGCTGGAGTGCAGTGGCGCAATCTTGGTTCACTGCAACTTCTGCCTCCCGGGTTCAAGCAATTCTCCTGTCTCAGCCTCTCGAGTAGCTGGGACTACAGGCATGTGCCACCACGCCTGGCTAATTTTTGTATTTTTAGTAGAGATGGGGTTTCACCATGTTGGCCAGGCTGGTCTCGAACTATTGACCTCAAATGATCCACCCGCCTTGACCTCCCAAAGTGCTGAGATTACAGGTGTGAGCCACTGCGCCCGGCCTGATTTTTCTTTTTCTTAATATCACATCAGAAGCTCAGACTACAAAAACAAAAATAAATAAAGGGACTACATCAAACTAAAAAATTCTGCACAGGAGAGGAAACAATCAACAAACTTGAAAAGCAACCTATGGACTAGGAAAATATAATTGCAAACCACATATCTGATAAGGAATTAATATCCAAAAAATATAAGGAACTCTTACAACTCAATAGCAGTAGAACAAATAACCCAATTTTAAAAATGGGCAAAGGGCTTTTCTGCCTCCACTGCCACCATGGCGCCCGTGAAAAAGCTTGTGGTGAAAGGGGGCAAAAAAGAAGCAGGTTCTGAAGTTCACTCTTGATTGCATCCACCCCATAGAAGATGGAATCATGGATGCCGCCATTCTACCAATTTTGAGCAGTTTTTGCAAGAGAGGATCAAAGTGAACAGAAAAGCTGTGAATCTTGGAGGAGTGGTGACCATCGAAAGGAGCAAGAGCAAGCTTACCGTAACACCGGAAGTGCCTTTTTCCAGAAGGTATTTGAAATATCTCACCAAAAAATATTTGAAGAACAATAATCTATGTGATTGGTTGTGCATAGTTGCTAACAGTAAAGAGAGTTATGAATTACGTTATTTCCAAATTAACCAGGACAAAGAAGAAGAGAAAGATGAGGATTAAATTTTATTTATCTGGAATATTTTGAATGAATTCTTGAATAAAACTTGGGAACCAAAAAGAATGGGCAAAGGATCTGAGCAGACATTTCTCCAAAGAAATGGGTCACACCAGCTCATTGCTGTAGCAGTGATGGAGTAAAAAAGGTAGGTAAGGAACGTGAGCAGTATGTGGGAGGTGTCTCATGTACTTTACTAGGGAGCTTGAAGTCTTCCCTGAAGTTAATAAAAATCCAACAATGCAATAAAATTTATTTTTCAAGTTCACCCTGGCAGCGCTATGGAGAAAAATTTAGAAAAGATTAAGATGAGAGCTAGGGTCTGTAGATTAGCTTTTAAGGGTTGTCTGTTATATGTAAAATTTTGTGCTTGTGTGACCATGTGATTCTTCTGTGGAGAGGTTCAGAGTTATTGTTGGATTCTCAAAGGGCTCCATGGCCCAAATAGAGGAGGGTGATCATTAAGGCATCTAATGCAACTGTGATGATGAGAACATGAACCAAGACTGTGGGTGGTACGGCCAGGTGTGACTGGCATTTCTCCAGGCATATCATCCTGAGGGTATGGTTGGGGTACAAAATGCTGCAAGCAGGATTATAGTCAAGCACTGCATAGTGACATTTCAGCCAAATGGACCACATATATGATGGGGTCCCAGAAGATTATCACGGAGCTGAAAAATTCCTGTAGCCTAATAACCATGTAGCTGTCATAAAGTCCTAGCACAATGCATTACTTATGTGTTTATGGTGATGCCCAGTATAAACAGACCCACTTGCTGCCAGTCATATAAGAGTCTAGCACATACAGTTATATACAGTACATAATACTTGAGAATGATAATAAATGACCATGTTACTGGTTTATGTATTTACTATATATTTTGTTGTTTTAGAGTGTACTCCTACTTATTGAAAAAAAAAAGGTAACTGTTAAACAGCCTCTGGGAGGTCCTTCAGGAAGTATTCCAGAAGAAGGCATTGTAATCATAGGAGATGACAGCTCTATGCATGGTATTGTCCCTAAAGACCTCCGAGTGGGACAAGATGTGGAGGTGGAAGACAGTGATATTGATGATCCTGACCCTGTGTAGGCCTAAGCTAATGTGTGTCTTTGTGTCCTAGTTTTTAACAAAAAAAAAAGAAAAAATTAAAAATTTAAGATAATAGAGTAAAGCTTATAGAATAAAGATATAAACAGAGAAAATATTTTTGTACAGCTGTACAATGTGTTTGTGTTTAAGCTAAGTGTTATTACAAAAGAGTCAAAAAGTTTAAAAAATTAAAAAGTTTATAAAGTAAAAAATTTACAGTAAGCTGAGATTAATTTCTTATTAAAGAAAAAAATGTGTTAAATTTAGTGTAGCCTAAGTATAGAGTGTTTATAAAGTCCACAGTAGTGTATAGTAATGTCCTAGCCCTTCACATTCACTCACCACTCACTCACTGACTCACCCAGAACAGCGTTGAGTCCTGCAAACTCTATTTATGGTAAGTGCCCTATACAGGAGTATACGTTTTTATCTTTTATACTTAGTGGAAAAAACAAAAACTGTTGTTACTCTCCTCTCACATCACAACCACAAAAGACTCCTGAGACCAAATGTATGGCGGTTTCTCGCCACCACCAAGCAAGCAGTCGATTCTACAGACACGCTAGCTTGGTGTCCTCCAGTTCAATTCATTCTGATGCTCTCTACCTGGAGATAGTGTCAGATCATACAGTCCCCAAGACTGCCCCTACTTCACATACCTGTCAGAAGTCTGGACCTCTGGAACTTCTGACCAACTGGCTTTAAGTTGAGATTCCTACATCCTCCTCTTTTGGCTCAATTAATTTGCCAGTGCTGTTCACAGCACTCAGGGAAACACATTTATATATTCTTTATAATACACAAAAAATTATATATTATAAAGAATACCACAAAGCATGCAGATGCAGAGACGCACAGGGCGAGGTATGGGGAAGGGGCTCGGAGCTTCCATGCCCTGCTTGGGTGTGCCACTCTCCAGAAACCTCCATGTGCTCAGCTACCTGGAAATACTCTGTACCCAGTCCTCTTGTGCCTTTGTGGAGACTTCATTGGGTAGTCATGATTGACAACCATGCAGAAATGGGCAAGAAGGGTATGGTCTAATACTAATAGACTGAGTGGAGAAACCCAGCAAGGCCTGTCTGTTCAGATTCTTCTTGGCATCTCTGTGCAGCATTTGTTCCTCCTGGGTGTGGGGCAGGACTCCTTCTGAATTGGGGGTTCTTATGACCTACAGTCAGATAGGGTAGGTAAGAGAATTTCTTTATGGTCAGCTCCAAGAGAGGTGAGAGAAGAGTCCTGCCTTGGGGAGAAAAAGGAGGGCAGGAGGTGGTCGGAAGGCCAGAGAGACAGACATTCTGTTTTCTGAGGCCTGTAGCACCCCAACATTATATAACAAGGGCTATGGGAGTTATGAGTCAGGAGCTGTGGACGAAAGCCAATATGTATACCAAAATATCACATATACCATATTTTTACTGTACCTTTTCTATGTTTAGATATGTTTGGATACACAAATACTGACCATTGTATTACAATTGCCTACAGTATTCAGTACAGTAACATGCTATACGTGTTTGCCACCTGGGAGCAATAAGCAACGCCATACAGGCTAGGTGTGTAGTAGGCTCCACCATCTACATTTGTGTAAGCACATACTATAAGGTTCACACAATGACAAAATCACCTATCAATGCACTTCTCAGAATGCATTTTTAAGTGGTGCATCACTGTATTTGGGGACTTTCTCCTTCCCCACTTATATTGCTAGAGGGTGAGGAGAGGCAGAAGTCCCTAGGGTGTCTTTTAGCTGATGTCTTCCATTCTGTTTCCATGTAGCTCCTGACTTTGAAGGTGCTGTTTTGGTATCCTCTCTCCTCCTAACGTATCAGGCTGTCTGAAGCCATCACTGCCCCCGAAATCCACGAGCTACTGTTCTGTCCATCAGCCTCTATACCAAGGCCTGGCCTCAGGGAGCCACCCTCCACCATGAAAATTTTCCACCTCTTTTAGGTACATGGCAGCACTATTCTTGTGCCTTTATTATTTCATTCAAACAACAAATAATTGAGTGCCTACCAGGTATCAGGTACTTTGTTTGGCACCAAACGACAGTGAACTACAGACATGGTCCCTACCCCATGGAAGTTATAGACTAGCAAAGGAAATTGCCTTGTAACCAAGCAATGACAATGCACACTGTAAATGCTGTGATGATGGGGGAAATACAGGATCTGTCGGAGCACAGAGGAATGACATCTAATGCAGACTTAGGAGATCAGAAAAGGCTTCCTGGGAGAAGTAAGATCTAATCTCAACCCTAAAGGTTAAATTTGAGTTAGCCAGATAAACAGAGAGAGAAAACCTGGCCCAGGGAATATACCTTTTTTTTTTTTTTTTAATTGAGACAGGGTCTCACTCTGTCCCCTAGGCTGGAGTATAGTGGCATGATCATGGCTCACTGCAGCTTTAACCTCCTGGGCTTAGGCAATCCTCCTGCCTTAACCTCTTGAGTAACTGGGACCGTAGGCATGTGTCACTATGCCAGGCTAATTTTTTTAAATTATTATTTGTAGACACAGGATCTTGCTACATTGCCAGGGCTGGTCTTCAACTCCTGGGCTCAAGCAATCCGTACAATATGGCCTCCCAAAGTGCAGGGATTATAGGCATGAGCCACCATGCCTGGTCTGCAGCTTTTATTTTACTCATTTTATGCATTCTTCCCCTAATGGAAGCATAGTTCAAGGGGAAGAAGCCTGCCCTAGCGCTGTTGTTTCTAGGTGCAATTCACAGTATCCACTCCCCTCTAATCCTGTGTCCTCACTCCCCCACATCAGCTGGTACATCCTATCTCCCTCTCCTCAGGGTAAGGCCTTCCCCTGCAGCTAACACTGCTTTGGGGCTGGACCAGAATGAGACCTGCAGATACTTGGGTTGTATTTTCTTTAAATAGTTCCTCAGTGCCCTGTAGAAAAAGGATAAAGAGGAGGACCATCAGCTGCACAGCCTCCAAAATCCAAGGGGCTTTAACTCTGGCCCCAAACTTACAACCTCTCTCCAAAACAATAGCCTCATAGTTCACTTGACTATCCTTTTTAGAAGGACCATCTGTTGTCACCCAGGCATACCCCTTGGGGTCTTACCTTCCACCCCCATCCCCAAGTGGCTCATCAAGGTATTTACTCCAACCCTATTGAGTACTCTCTGTGAGATTTCTGATTTAAAAAAATTTTCGTCTTTGAAGTTCTATTTCCAGTGATATTTTAGTGCACTAGTCATGTTTTACCCCTTGTCATAGATTGACAGCAAAGGGAATTGTTCAGCTGGTTGGTCACCCCTTAATGTAGGTTCTCCTTGAGGAATTTGAGAAATGAAGAGGTTATAAAGCAGCACCCACATGTCCAACACTATACTCTTCCCACAGGTTCCTCTACTTGTGATATAATTAGCTCTCCCTGGTGGGTCCATCTCTCCCCTGCACCCAGACTGCACCCCACGCCACCCCCTACAGGCCTAGACCTGTCTGAATTAGTTGAGTAAGTATAGATGAGGCTTACATGCTGGTGCCTCAGTTGACTTGTAACCCAATAGAGAAGGGACAGGGATTTATGATTAAGAGGCCAGAGAGGAGGAGCTAACAGCTCCTGGGTTTTAAAATATCAACAATACTAATACTATAACATTCCATTGTAATGTTCTTTATAATGTTCAAAGATCTTCGAATCTTTTTTTTTTTTTTTTAAAGACAGGATCTTGCTATGTTACCCAGGCTGGAGGGCAGTGGTGCAATCATGGCTCACTGCAACCTCGACCTCTATGCTCAAGTGATTCTCCTGCCTCAGCCTCCTGTGTAGCTGGGACCACAGGCACCTGCCACCACACCTGGCTAATTTTCTGATTTTTTATAGAGACAAGGTCTCACTTTGTTGCCCAGGCTGGTCTCGAACTCTTGGCCTTAAGGGATCCTCCTGTCTTGGCACCCCAAGGTGCTGGGATTACAGGTACACAATTTGGTGAGTGAAAGAAGTGAGGTCCTCTCAGCCTTTCCAGACACCATCTACACCACCACAGGCACTGGCTGCTTCAGGTTGGGGACCTTTTGAGGATGAGTCGTAGATAAGATGGGCTCCTTGCTAACATGTGTCATTCATTGCCTCAAAGGGTGTCTATTCAACAGCAGGAGCCTCCGCTGCTTCTTTTTTTTTTTTTTCTCAAAAAAAAAAGAGGGTCTCACTCTGACACCCAGACTAGAGTACAATGGCGAGATATCGACTCACCGCAACCTCCGCCTCCCAGGCTCAAGCGATTCTCCTGCCTCAGCCTCCCGAGTAGTTGGAATTACAGGCCTGCACCACCATGCCTGGCTAATTTTTTGTATTTTCAATAGAGATGGGGTTTCATCATGTTGGCCGGGCTGGTCTTGAACTCCTGACCTCAAATGATCCACCCGTCTTAGCCTCCCAAAGTGCTGGGATTATAAGCATTAGCCATCATGCCCGGCCCAGGAGCCTTTGCTTCTAACTCCTATAGGGCTGCTGAAAGATTAGTTCCCTGTTTTAGTATTTAATCTAGTCCCTTGTCTCCATTTGATGGGTTGGTAAAAGGAAAAGTAACAATCTCAACCTGCTGTTACTTTCCTTTAACTAAAAGGTTGCTGATTACAACTGGAATACTATATGCATTAAGATAAGGTCTCAACGGTTTCATTTCTACATGAACAAATAAGATTAAAAGGTTTCAGGTTGTTCTTTCTAAGCACCTTTAAGCAAATAATACATTGTGGTGTGTAAAGTCTCCATTCTCTGTAAATGAGAAGCCAAATCAGATAGGCCATTACAGGGTCCACCGGAGTCCCCTTGCACTTGAGTTTGCGGCACAGGTCCAGGGTTGCTGTTCAAACCTGCGTGGGACACTCTAGGGCCAGTGTGGATTTCTTGCGCAGGGAGTCCTCTGGTTTCTTGGGTTGGGTTAGTTCTCTGGTTTCTTGGGTTGGGTTAGTTTTACAGTTTTGTTGTGTTTTATTGCAGGACTGGGAGGCAGCCAGTCAAAATGGTCTCTAGCCATCTAATTGCTGATCAGTTCAAGCATGTAATACAATTTCAACATCAAACAGACAAAGATGAGGTGGAGGAGTGACTGATTAGATGATCTCAAGCAGCAGGGACAGTCCGGGATTAGCTACTGCCACTCCAGTTGTGACTGTGTCACAAGTAGATTCAGGAAGCAACAGGAAGTTGAGATTCACATACCTCCCAGAGAATAGTAAAACAGTGTTTCCTATCCAGTGGGTCATGATCCGTGACAGGTTTACCATGTTACCCTGGGGGATTTACATCCCTAAAAGTGGAATTAATGTCTACTTTGTTTTGTAAAAATCTGTAAAATACATTGGTTTCTCAAATACAAGATAGAAGAATCAAATATCAGGCCTTGAAAGTAGTTTTTTTCTTGTTATATCATGTAGTAAATTTCAATGTGTATTTTAATATGAAAACCCCAAACCGAACACTATAGAATATGTCTTTTCAAGACTTATTTATTGACTAATCATCCTTTTTCATGCAATTAATTTAAAGTAAATTTGAGGAGCATGCATCATTTTTTGAATGGGGAGAAACATAAAACTGGCTCAGTGTTATAGTAAAGCATTAGAGTAAAATGAACATCATAAATGCAATCCTCGATCATGTAATGAATTAAAGAAAATATTTGTTTTTAAAATCATGTGTTATTATATACTTTGTGTGATAGCATTTGTCATTCTTTTTTTTTTTTCTAAGCTCTCTAGTTGCTTTGAATACTCTTTATATTTGGGACTCTCCCATCTAGTGAGTCTGCCTTTTGAAAATAGAGGCCAAATTTTCCCAGATTCCCTTGAAGTGAGGAAAAATTGTGGCACAGACTCCACCAATCAGTGCTCCTGCATGTGATTTCAGTGTGGAAGACTGAAGTCATGAAGACGGGGTCCTGAGGGAATCCCTTCAGGTGACAGCAGAGAGGCAGCAAAGATACATCCAGTTTCCAGAGAGAATCAAGGCAGGGGCTTGGCATAGCATCCCTGCCCACTATTCGGCCTGTGTTGAGTGGCAGGGACAGCGGTAGCAGTATTGGTTCTGGCTGCTCAGCCTCTATGCTTGGTTTTCTGGTTGTGTCTCCTAGAGATTATGCTAATAGCCTTTTAATACAGTGGTCCTTCAACATTTTATGTGCGCACTCCCAAAACAAATGTAATGAAGCTGGCTTTCTAGAGTGTTCAGGTCATTACACAGTAGTTTACAGCTTAGGAACATTTTGTTCTACATAAGTAAATGTTCTACTGTTAAAAATGTAGTTTAATCTATCTTGTGGAAATAAATAGCAAAAGGAAAGGCAGGTGTTGAAGCTCTGGTAAGTGTGCTGATTACAAAAGATACAGTAATTATTATTTAAGTGCATTATTTTCAGTTGAATTCACAACATATCTCCATTGAATTAATCTAAATCTAGTAAGTACATACTTTGAATGACTAAACCCACAAAGTGGTTGATGAGGAACAGCAGGAGAATGTGTCCAAGTAAAAACTGAGTATGGTTTTATGACATCAATAAGCTTTTGGCCAAAATTAATGACAATTTTTTTACAAGTCTAAAGGAGCATTTATGGAAATATAGAATGCCACTACCTACTTTCAATTGCTTTTGCTAACTTGAAGATATAATGTTGATCTGTTGGAAGTAAATGTGTGACCTCACCTTCTCTTTGAAATAATGCAAAATAGGCAGGGCATAGTGGCTCACACCTGTAATCCTAGCATTTTGGGAGGCTAAGGCAGGAGGATTGCTTGCGCCCAGGAGTTTGAGGCCAGGAGTTTGCAACATAGCTAGACCCCATTTCAAAAAAAAATAAAATAAAATACAGTAAAATAAAAATGTAACAATGCAAAATACTCAGCTGACACATGGGTGAACACAAGTGAAATTTTATAGCATGTTGTTATTCTCTGACATGCTTCAGACAAAATTTAAATATCTTAATTCTAAGATGGATAAAAAGACAGGAAGGAAAGGAGGCAGGGAGGTGGATAAGGCACAGAGTCTTGTCATAAGTTTGTCTCCAGGATGGAATGAGCTCTGGTAAGTTCTGTATTTTGTACTGAGCCTCTCTACTTTGCCCTCTCAGAACTCTCCTATAGTAGCAATGCATTATTTGATCATAATTAGGCAATGCAAAAGGCAAGACCCTTCAACAAAATTTGCCATAATTCCTGCCACTTCACTCCTCAATATACATGAATTCAGGATGTCCCCAAATACCTTGTTTCTATATTATGCTGCACCCTTATCAAAAATATAAAGACAAAAACATGTAGCCTTAGTGTAGGATTACAATTTCTTGACTAAAGGAGGCTTCCATATATTGAGTTGTTCTACAATATCATGCTGCAGGTAATTACACCCCAGTGGAATGCCCCATAATTAAATTCAGGAAGCCTTAAACATGTGATAATCATTTATTCATTCATTCATTTTTAATAAAATGGAGAATGGGAATTGTGAAAGAGGAGGTGGAAATGATGAGACAGTATGACACCTTGACCTCACATATGCAATAAGACATATTAATTTTAAGAAACAGGCTGGGCGCAGAGGCTCACGCCTGTAATTCTAGCACTTTGGGAGGCCAAGGTGGGCGGATCATGAGGTCAGGAATTAGAGACAAGCCTGGCCAACATGGTGAAACCCTGTCTCTACTAAAAATACAAAAAAATTAGCTGGGTGTGGTGGCACACGCCTGTAGTCCCAGCTACTCGAGAGGCTGAGGCGGAAGAATTGCTTGAACCCGGGAGGCGGAGGTTGCAGTGAGCTGAGATTGCGCCATTGCACTGCAGCACTCCAGCCTGGGCAATAGAGGGAGACTCCGTCTCGGAAAAAAAAAAAAAAAAAAAGGCTGGGCACGGTGGCTCACACCTGTAATCCCAGCACTTTGGGAGGCCAAGGCAGGCGGATCATGAGGTCAGGAGATCGAGACCATCCTGGCTAACATGGCGAAACCCCGTCTCTACTAAAAAAAAAAAAAAAAATTAGCCGGGCATGGTGGCGGGCGCCTGTAGTCCCAGCTACTCAGGAGGCTGAGGCAGGAGAACGGCGTGAACCCAGGAGGCGGAGCTTGCAGTGAGCCGAGATCACGCTACTGCACTCCAGCCTGGGCAGCAGAGCAAGACGCGGTCTGAAAAAAAAAAAAAAAAAAAAAAAAGAGTACCTTTGGAATTTAGGAAATTGAAAATTGATTCTCTAAAAAATCTAAGATATGGAACCTGTTCTCCAAGGCTGGAAACTGACAATCCATATGTGAAATCTCAATCTCCAAACACAGAACCTGAAGTCCTATATGAACTCTGAACTTTCAGGAACTGATTTAGGTCTTCTTGGTGTTATTTCTCCTTTTCCAAGCATACAATCTGGTCCTCCACATGAGAAGCCACTGTACAGGTCCAGTGGCTGGACCTCCAAGCATTGAACCTAGGCCTCTAAGCATGAAAACTTGCAACACAGGTATAAAATGTATCCCTTTAAACACAGAACCTGTCCCTCCATATATAAAATCTGACTTTCCAAACATGGAATATCTCTCCAGGTGTGAATCCTTCCTTTCCAGGCATAAAATACGACATGTGTGTGTGTGGAACCTGGGCTTCTATATGTGGATCCTGGGCCGCTAGCATGGAATCAGGCCTTCTAGGCATGCCATAAGTTACTGCTTTATGAAACCTCTTTGTCTAAGTTGGATCATGGTCTTCCGTGGGTTGAACCTGAACCGCAAGTCATGGCGTCTGGCCCATCAGGTATGGAACCTGGCCATCTTCCAGGTGTTCCATGACCCTCCGAGTATGGAATCTGTACTTCTAGAGATGAAACATGGAGTTATGAGCATGAAACCTGATTCAAAGAAATGTAATATGGCTCTCCACTTTGGGAACTTGGCCATCTGTGGGTAAAACCTGAATTTCTGAGTAGAAATGTAGCCTTCCAGGCACTGAATTGACTCTCCATTGGTAAAACCATGCCTCCAGGCACAGAATCTGCCACTCTATGTGTGGAATCCCAATATCCAAACATGGAAGTTGGCTCTACAAGCATGAAATCTGGCACTCCATGTATGGAATCTCAATTTCCAGAATGGATTCTGACCCTAAGAGCATGGAACCTGACACCCCATGTAAGGATCTCTATCTCCAAGCATGAAATTTAAACTTTCAGGAATGGAATGGAACACAATATGTGGAATCTCAATCTCCCCATATGGAACATGGCTTAATAAGTATATTGCTTGGCACTCCAGACATTAAGCTTGTGTCTCAGTCATAGAAGTTGGTCGCCCAAGACATGAAACCTGGTGCTCCCCATGCATGGAAGATGGCACTTCATGTATAGAATCCAAGAATATCCAAGACTGGAAACATGCAACAGTCATGGAACTTGGCATTCCATGAAAGAAATCTCAACCTCTGAGCAGGGAATCTGGCCCCAAAAGCATGTAATATGGCATTCCATGTAGGAAAGCTGGAACTGATTTACGTGTTTTAGATGTGAAGTCTACCTTTCCAAGTATATAATGTAGAAATCCATGAGCCCCAACCCTACAGGCATGGAACTTGAACCTCTGGCCATGACACCTAGACTTCTAAGCATAAATACTTGCTCCTTCTATGTAGAATGTGGCCCTTAAAACATGGAACCTGGCCTTCCCACATGGATTCTGAATGTCTAGCCATGAAGAGTCTCCCCAGTTGTGATCTTCCCCAGGCATTACATATGACACTCTAGGATTGAAACCTTTACTTTTAGATATGGAACTTGACCTTTTAGGCATGGAATTAGGACTTCCAGGCATGCCATGGGAGCCTGTGAGAAATCCCTCTCTCCAGGCTTGGAACCTGACCTTCTAGGTTGGAACCCGAATCTCATGGCATGTCACCTGGCCCACCAGGTATGGAATCTAGCCAACTTGACACAAAATCTCACCTTCCAAGTATGGAACTTGGAATTTTAAGTAGGAAACAAGACCTTGCATTCATGAGAACTGATCTGTAGAAGAGGAATCTGGTTCTCCAAGTAAGGAACTTGGCCTAAAATGGGAAAAAATCTGATTTTCTGTGAGCAGAAAGGTAAATATCAAGGTAATTTCAGACTCCACTAATAAAACTGGAACTTAGCACGCCATGTGTAGAATCTCAATCTCTAAGCGTGGAGACTGGCCTTCCAAGTATGAACCTGAATCTTAATGTTCAAGCATGGAACATGACCATACACACAAAGAGACTGGAGCTTCAGATATGGAGCGTGGCACTTCTGTCACAGAATTTGGTTCTCCAAGCACGGAAACTGGTTTACCAGCATGTAATCTGCACAGTAGGTGTGGAACCAGTGCTTTTATGTGTGGATTCAGGCCATGTAGACATGAAATTAGGCTTTAAGCATGGCATGCATTGTAAACTGTGTGAAATTTCTCTCTTTCAGTTTGTAACCTGGCCTGGCCTTCTGTGGAATTTGGGTAGAAACTTAATGTCATCTGGCCTACCAGGTATTGAATCTCACCATCCAGGCCTGGAATCTTACTCTCCAAATATGGAACCCGGACTTCCAAGTATAAAATAAGGATTAGCCATCATGAAACATGTTCTATAGAACCCGAATCATAAGGCAATCATCTGGACCTCCAATTATACAATGTGGTGGGCATTAGGCCTAGAATTTGACATTCCAACTATGGAATCTGTATTTCTAGGCATGAAATATGGCCAAGAAAGTAATGAATCCTGATCTACAGAAGTGGAATCTTACTCTTCATGTTGGGATTTGTATTAGTTAGAATTCCCCAGAGAAACAGAACCAATAGGATATATATTTAAGTCCCAGAGTCCAAAGGCCAGAGAAGCAGAAGCTCCAGTGTCTAAGGGCAGGAGAAAATGGATGTTCCAGCTCAATAAGAGAGAGCAACTTTGTCTTTTCTTAACCTTTGTGTTCTATTGGGCCGTTGTGGATTGGACGATGCCCACCCACATTGATGACAATGGTCTTCTTTACTCAGTCTATCAATTTAAATGTTAACCTCTTCCAGAAATGCCCTCACAGATACACCCAGAAATAATGTTTTACCAGCTATCTGGGCATTCCTTAGCTCAGTCAAGTTGACACATAAAATTAACTATTGCAAGAACTTTACCATCTATAGGTAAAACCTGTCTTGCAGAGTGTGGAAATGTAAACTTCCAAGCTATTACTTCATCCTCCATTTGTAAAACTCTACCTCCAGGTATAGAACCTGGCACACCATGACTGTAATCTCAACCTCCAAGGATGGATCCTGACTATACAAGCATGGAACCTAGCAATCCATATTCAGAATCAAAATCTCAAAGCATGGAAAATCGTAATAGGCTGAAACCTGAAATTGCACAGACAGAACTTGTGTGCCATTCACAGAAGTTGGATTTCCTTGCATGGAATCTGTTATGCCAGGCATAGAACTAGGGACTCCATATGGAATCACAATATCCATGCATAAAATCTGGCCCTACAAGCATGGGACATGGCACTCTATGTGTGGAATCTCAATCTTCAACATGGAACAGACCCACAAGCATAAAACCTAACATTTCATATTTGGAATCTCAGTGTTGAGCATGGAACATGACCTTAAAAGTGTGGAATCTGGCACTCCAGTCATGACACCTGGCATGTTTATTATAGATCTTGGCTTTCCAAGATCAGGAACCTCATTTCCCATACAGGGAAACTGGCAGTCCATGTACGGAAACTCAATCTCCAAAAATTGAACCTGGCCCTAGTAGCACAGAACTGGGACTCAATGGATTAAATCTCTAACTCTAAGCATGGAACATGGCTTCACAAGTGTGTGACCTGTCACCCCAGACATGAAACCTAGAGTTTCAGTTGTAGAAGTTTGCTCACTAAAACATGAAGCTTGGCCTCCAAACCATGAACCTGGCACCAGCTGTTTGGAATCTCAACTCTAACATGGAACATGGTCATACAAGTATGGAACCCAGGAATCCATGTATGATACTTCAATATCTAGGTATGGAATTTGGCCCTACAAGCATAGAATCTGGCACCGCATGTATGGATTTCAATAATCATCTAACCTTGCAGTTCATACATGGAATCTGGTACTGCATTTATGGAATTTCAATCTCCAAGCATAGAATCTATATACTTAAAGCATGAAACTTGGCCCTATGAGCATTCAACATGGCACCCCATGTGTGGAATCTCAATCTTCTAGTATAACGTGGCCTTATAAATGTGGAATCTGGCATTCCAGGCATGAAACCTTGGGTTTTAGTCATAGAAGTTGGCTCTCCAAGCCTTAAAAACCTATTTCCCCAGGCATGGAACCTGGCAATGCATGAATGAACTCTCAGTCTCTGAGTGTGAAACTTGAACTACTAATGCTGAAATTGGTACTTACTGTATAAGAACCTCAATACTCAACCACGGGACCTGGCCCTAAAAGCAAGTAACTTAGCATTATATGTATGGAATCTCAAAACTCCATCCATGAAAACTGGCCTTACCGTCATGGAATCTTGCACTCCATGTATGAAACCTAGACTTGCAGGCATTTCATTAATTGGGACGTCCATATAAGCCCCACCCCTACAAACACGGAAACTGGTACTGTGTATATGAATTCTCAATCTCCAAATATGGAACATACCCTTACAAGTGTGGAATCTGTCACTCTAGCTAAAACTCCGGGCATGGAAACTGGCATTTGAGTCACAGAAGCCAACTCTACATGCATGGAACCTGGTCTCCCAGATACGGAATCTGGCACTCTGTGTATGGAATATCAATCCCCAGCCATTGAACCTGACCATATAAACATGGAACCTGTACTCCATTTATGAAACATGGACTTTCAGAGATATATTTAGCTCTCCTAGGTGTAAATCCTGCCTTTTTATGCATATATATTCTGCTCTTCCGCATAAAACCTGGCTCTATAAACATGGAAATTGGGTTTCCAATTATGAAACCTGACTTTCCAGGGTTGGAAAGTAGCTCCTGATGTGAATCCTGCCTCTCTAGGTATAAAACCTGATTCTTTAGTTGTGGAATCTGGGCTTCTATATGTACGCCTTGGTGATCTAGGTATTGAATTAGACCTTTTGAGCATAACATGAGTATGAAATCTCTCTCTCCAAACTTGGAACCTGCCTTGTGAGGGTGGAACCGGAACCTCCTGAAATGCCATCTAGCCCACAAGTAAAAAAATTCAGGGTAGTGTTAAGTGACTTTTCCAAGGTTAAACAATTGATTTTCTATGGAGCTGGGGCTGGAATCCAGGTCTCCTGATTCTCAGCCAGTGCTCACTATAGAGATGGTTGTTCTGCTTATCTTTCTTGTTAATGGTGTAGCCAGGGAAAAGAGAACTAGACAGGTGGACAGGAGTCAGAACATGCAAAGTCTGTTGACAGCATTGCCCTGACTGTCCTGTCTGCCTCTATTGCCCTTAGACAGATGGCCCAATCCCACTGAACTTTACCACCCCCTTTTTCATGCAAAGGGGGAGTCAGACAAGATGGTTGCTGAGACCAGTTCCAGCCCTGGCATTCTGTTCTCTACCTCTATGTTATGCTTCTCTTTATTAAGAGCCTCTTCTTGTCTTTGAGCAGCGTGAGACTGAATTGGTCTGGGGCATACCGAGCCATCTAAGCAAGGAGCAACCAGGAGATTAGCTTTGATCCTGCCCTGACCCCCTCCTCCCTCCTGTGGTTTCCTTCATTATTTCAGCTGTTGCCCAAGGAAGAGATTTTTATATTTGGTTGAAGTGTCCCATTCAACCCAGAAAATCAAATACCATTTTAAAAGATCCTGACTTTGGAAGTTAGCCTCACAGCTGCCTGGGGTGCCTCACGATCCCTCTCTATTCAAAAGCCTGTTCTTGTTTTCCATTTTACAGCTCATGTCCTGGTCTCTTCTTTCTGCTTGGGTGGGGTTGGCTGCCTAAGGGACTCAGGTCCTATTGCCACTTGGATCTAAGCAGGGGAGGCTGTTAGGGCCAGGGGAGGGAATCAGACTAACCAAAGAGTCGGGGGAGTTTTTAGGGCATCTCCTGTCCTTTTGCCTGAGGGTAACCACTCCCCCCTCCGCCCCGCTCCCTGCACCCTGCCCCCAGATGGAGTCTCTCTGTCTCCCAGGCTAGAGTGCGGTGGCACGATCTTGGCTAACTGCAAGCTCTGCCTCCCGGGTTCATGCCATTCTCCTGCCTCAGCCTCCCGAGTAGCGAGACTACAGGCGCCCGCCACCACACCCAGCTAATTTTTTGTGTTTTTAGTAGTGACGGGGTTTCACCGTGTTAGCCAGGATGCTCTCGATCTCCTGACCTCGTGATCTGTCCGCCTCGGCCTCCCAAACTGCTGGGTTTACAGGCAAGAGCCACCGCGTTTTAACTCTTTGTCCTTCATATGCCCGAAACATAAACTTCTAGTGCTTTTTCTTCACTTACCAATTTTGGACATTATCTATTTATTTTCCGCAATGGTAGGTAACTCTTTCACACACTGACGCTTCTCAGCTCTTCTCTTCCATCTTCCTAATATAATGTCTAGGCTTTTATGACCCTGAACTACTGTTGACCCCAGAATAAGTATGCACTATGCCATGATTACATTTCTTTTCCTCTCTAGCTTTTCTCTGCCCCTAGTTTCAACATTTCTTTCTTTTTCCTCATACTATTTGCCTTGATCCTTGCCACATTCTTTTCTTTCCAAACCTCCATCATCTCGCCTATGTTATCTGCCACCTTTCTTCCCAGAGATCTTGTACACAGAGTCCTTTGTAGAAGCAACACATTCATTTGTTTAGAAATAGACATGGAGTGCCCACTGATAGCCAGACCTGCTTCAGTTAATTTATTAAGTCATTAAGTCATTGCTTTCAATAACCATATGCTGAGTGCCAGGCATGAATAATACAGAGATAAATAAAATATAACCTTTGTGCCCAAGTAGCTACCCTGTCTCTTTCCCTCACCTAGGTCAGGATCTCTCTTGTTCCTGGCATCTAGCCCAGTACTTAGCACATGGGTTGCCCTTAGTAAATATTTATTGTTGAGAACATTATTGGACTCATTTTTCAGGCCCATCTTCACTCATCTCCCCTGAATGTTGCTTAAATAGGGACGATCCTGGTGTCATCCCTATTTAAACCCAGTGCACAGCGATTTCATCTCAGAGGTGCTCAGTGCAGGCTTCAGGTTCTCTTCTGCCTTAGCCCTGTTATTGCATGGGATGCAATCCTGCCCCACTTCCACCCCGAGATAAGGTTTCTTGAGCTGCATCCTCTGGCACAAAATCCTTCCTATCCCCAAGGGAGGCAATGTATGGGTCCTAGGATAGCATTGAGAACAGGGGCCTAGGCATCTGCTCTGATGTCCTCATCCTCTAAGCCTAAGGCAGTACTAGCCCTCCTCCAAGTCTCCGTTTCCCTGGCAGCCCTGCACTTCCTCCCCATTTCTGTTTCCCTGGCTGTAAAACTCTGAAGCAAGGCCTGCCCTTCTTTCCTTCCCCTGCATGCAGTTTAGGACCAGGTGGAGGTTCTTAGCTGTGAAAGGCCTCATGAGGACTATTAATGTACTCTTTAGGAGGATTTTGTTTCAGCTCAAATGCATTCTGCAAGGATTTCACAGTGACAAAGAGTTCGTGTATGTGTTGCAAGACAGCTCCCTTCTCTTGTCCTGAGGGAGTTTGCACCTGCTTACTCAGGACAGGCTTTTCCACAGACCGTCCTCCATGCTGTCCTCCCACCTCAGGTGTCTGGTTACTGCCAGAACCATTTATTCCGACCCTCCATCTGGCCAACAGATTAAAAATCCCCCACAATGCAAAGGGCGACTGCAGATGGCCGTGCACCTGGGAGTCCCGAATCCCTGGGCTGCAGGACCTGGAGTTGGACTTCCCTGCTTGGCTGACAGCCTTGGAACCTCCAGTTCATCTAACAGGGAACTGTAAAGCCAGCCCCTCATTAGAACAGCCTGCAGCCCAAGTCCACACTGAAAAGAGGTGGAGGTGCTAAACTGATGCCTGTAACTTAATATCTGGTGAGTTCGCCCACGCAGTGCACAAGAGACGTGCACTCAGCCACCGTATGTGACTGGCACTCACAGTTCTTCTCCCGAAAGCTACAGCCGCACACGGTGTACCCCATGCAGCCCTTCTCAGCAACCCTTGGGAGACATTCTCATGACTCGTCACCATCTGAATCCCTCGCTCTCATCTGTCTTTGGTGAAGAACCTGGGTTCAGAGGCTTCCAATCTCTTTTCCACATGGCAGCCTTAAAAATGTATATACTTTCAAATATAAAATGAAAACAGAAATGTTCTCCCTCAGTGCTTGCCAGTGCACTTAGAATATGACTTCAGCTGGTTCCCATGGTCTAGGAGGGATGTGGCCCTGTCCACCCCACCCATGACCTTGTCTCAGGTCGCCCTGCCCAGCTCTCTGCCTCCAGGAGCACTCCCCTCCCGACCGACAGTTCTGAGAACTTTTTCTCTTCCTTGGAGTGCTTTTCTCTCCATACGCAGGATGGCTGGCCTTCATTTTTCTGGTTTTGGCTTAAATGTCATCTTGGAGACATCCTCAATGACATCTCTGTCCAGAATAGTTCTCCCCATACCCTTATTCCCCTAGATCCCTAGGTCCCTGCTCTTTTTTTTTCCAGGGCTCTTATCTCAATTTTTAATTGTATATTATTTTTCGTTGACTTGTTTTTCTTGTGTTTTCCCTGAAACAGTAAGCTCCTTGAGGAAGGGATCATATATAGTCTAACCAGACAGCCTCTGTCATAGTGCATGGCACATAGTAGTTGCTCAACAAGTACATGTTGAATGTCAAATGAACAAATGTCAGGAAACAAATGTCAATCGAGTCATTTCCTGAATTCAGTGCCTTTTAGGGCAGTGGTCTCAGACTTTGTTGCACATTAGAATTACCTGGAAAGGTTGAAAAATACCTCCATAGCTATTAAATCAAAACCTCTAAGGGGTGAGATCAAAGCACCCATTTTTTAAAAAGTCTTCAGGTGATTCCAATGTGCAGCTAAGAACCCAGTGTTTAGAGCAGTGGTTCTTACATGTAGTCCTGGACGAGCAGTATCAGCCTCATGTGGGGACTCATTAGAAATGCACATTCTTTGGTCCTACCCAGATCTACTGAGTCAGAAATTCTAGTCAAGCCACTTTCCTGCGCCCTCCAAGGGATTCTGAGGCAGGCTAAAGTTCGATAATCACTGCTTTAAAGAAGGGGTCGTGCTGTCTCTACTCTTCGCCTTGTCATTTTTTGTTGGCATCAGCAATAGGAAAATGGGACACTCTTTAGCAGGATGACCACTGTCCCAGTTTGTGGGGGACTGTCCCTGTTTTACTGAAAGTTTCACATCCCAGGAAATCCCTCATTCCCCAGCAACCAAGACAGTTGGTCCCCCTACTATTTAGAACTCTTTTGATCGAAATACCAGATCCACCGGACAAGTTGAGTAAGTGTGATAAGTGCATTAGTAGGTTTTAAAATGTTAATGTGATCTAATATCCCTGTGATGGCTCCTCTGAGTGCTGGGGGATAGCTGTGTGGCCATCAGGTATGCCTGGTCACCATGGCTCCCACTTCAGATGTCTGCAGAAAGCAAACATTGCTATGCCTTGCTCAGGTCCACCTCACTTAGTGCTATACATGGATAATTTGGTTTTGTTTTTCAAAGGAGGGCACCACAGTGTTATAAAACAATTCTCAGAGACTCCCACTACCACCTTTGTAGTCGCATAAATGACTTAGAAGAAAGTGAAAATAAAGCTGTCTATTTTTTGTACAGGCAAAAAAATGATAACATCATTCACAGGTTGCAAAGGCCTCATCTGAGAGCAGCAGGAACTTATTTTTTTTTTTTCTCTCTCTCTCTCTTCAAAATGTATTTACTTTTAGATTTTCCAGTTAGGTGGGTATGCTACAGGAAAGCCCAGAAATGTGGCTTCGGATTAAAATTGCAAACCTGGATCTACCTAGATTTCTTTCCAAACCAATGTTTACAAATGAATTTAAAACCTAAATGCCCAAGGGAGTCAAAGAAAGAATTCCAAGTTCCTTTTAACTCAAAGGTTGGATTCAAGGTGAGTTTAAGCTTTCTGATGGTGACAGCCAGGATTATTTGGAGGTGATTTATGACTGAGGGAGAAAATGATGACCTGCCTAATTCTCTGCCCCCCAGAAAACCAGTCTCTCAGCCAAGACCACTTAAACAGATGAAATGGAAGAGTTCCCTGACCCCCCCTCGCAGGATGTGTGATTGGGGGTGGCTCATATGTTCAGCCGCTGGGTGCTCAAACCCCTTACAGGAAGGGGAGCATGCAGACAGTCAGGTGCAGGAGTCAGGGTGAGCGCTTTTTGGGCTCCAGCCCCATGGTTGTGTCTATGGGTGGGTGTCTGCAACTCCCAAAGCCCAAGTGGGCGTGTGTTACAGTGCTCTCTTTTAGCCTTGCTGTCCAGGGATGGCTTAAGTGTTAGACAGCTCAGTAGACACTCTTGGTACCCAGGTCTTTGTCCGGTGTCCAGGAAGAATCAGGTCACACACAGATTTGAAGGATGAATGCAGGGGTTTTATTGAGTGGTGGAGGTGGCTCTCAGTAGGATGGATGCGGAGTTAGAAGGGGGATGGAGTGGGAAGATGATCTTTCCCTGGAATTTGAATGTCCAGTGGCGGATCTCCTCTCTAGATGCCCCCAGCTGAATTCCTCTTGATGTTCAGACATTCCTTTCCTTCCCTCTGCCGCATTGCTCTGCCCTTCTTCTGCTTTTCTGTTTGTTTCCTCATCTCCCTGTGAAGACTGGGGTTTATCAACTTTGGGGCATGAAAACAGGAATGCCTGTTCCCGTTTAGGGCCATGGATTTCCAGGCTTGAGGGTGGGGACTTTGCCAGGGAACTACCCTCTTCTACCCAGTATTTTCCTTTCTCCTGTCTATATCACAAACACATTGGCAAGTTCAACCTGGTCCAAACTCTGGCCTTACCCTCCTTCAGAAAAGGAAAGGTGAGAACATTTGATTCAGTTTCAGGTCAGTCTTGTTGGCGAATCCTGACCATTGGAGTGGGTCAGCATTCATCAAGTGTCTGTGTTGGTGGTTGCAGATGCTGCATCTGATGAAATTCTCGCAGGAATTCTGGGAGTAGTGCACAACCAGTGTGAACACCTCCACTTGACAGGTGAGAAGACCGAGGCTCAGAGAAGTCCTTTGACTTGAATGAGATCACATATCTAGCATTCAGCAAAAGTAGGATTGGAGTCTGATGTCCTGACTTCCAGTTCAGTGCCAACGGACAGCTATCTTAATTCCAGCAATCAGATTCTGGAATATTTCCTTGTTACTACCACCATCACCACTCTTACTATTACCTCTACTCCTGTTAATTCCTCCCCCATTACCATTACATTTGCAATGACTATTTTAGTATTTACTATGAACCAGGCATAGTCCTAAACCCTATTCACACATAGTCTCATTTATTCCTCTCAACAGCCTCATTTCATAGGGATGTGGACTGAGACTTAGAGAGGTTAAGTAACTTGCCTGATCAAGCTGAGGTTTGAGCCTCGGTCCATTTGGCTGTGAAGGCTGAGCTCTAAAATAGCTATCACATAGTGCGCTCCTCACCAAATGCCATGCCTGAATCTCCTCTCTGTTTCTCAAGGTTGAATTCCTGCCTGGGTTATTTGTCTGGGTTATTTGTCCCTGGAATTCTGGACCTGCTTGGTTTCTCCCATTCCTTCAGGACATTCTCGTCTCTGACTCTGATTAGATCCCTGCTGCCCTCAGCTCATGACCACAACCTCTCCTTCACTAGGGGTCCTGTTAGCTAAACCACTCATTATCTATAGCTGCCAGAATTCTCTCCTTTGGGTAAAATTTCTACCTTCTCAGTTAAAATTTTTCCCTACCTGCTACTAGTGGTTTCTTTTGAGATGTATCCCCCTTTACCTAACAGCAAGTACTATCTACTACTAGCATCTTCCTTATTTCTCATAATGCAGAATGAAGACAGCCCCAAGTCTCCTTACCCCACTCTGATAGGGGTACTCAACCTCCAGGTCTGTGGTCTCCAATTACACCATTTCCCTTTCACAAAGGTCTAGAACAATTTATTCTTTTTTTTTTTCTAGTTCTTCTTGAGCTAGATTTATTTATTTATTTATTTTTTAAAAAATTAAAAAAATTTTTGTGGGTACATAGTAGGTGTACATATTTATGGGGTACATGAGATGTTTTGATACAGGCATGCAATGTGAAGTAAGCACATCATGGGGAATAGGGTATTCTTTCCCTCAACCATTATCCTTTGAGTTACAATCCAATTACACTCTTTAATTTATCTTAAAATGTACAATTAAACACTTTATCCTTAACTTCTCAGGAAAAGAGTTGGGAGGACCATCATTCATATGTTTACATGGAGTGGTAATTTTGTGAATGTTCGTTTGTATGTCTGTCATTCTATCAGGAAAAAGCCTGCTGGGCACGTGCATTCTCTACTGTCTCTCCATTCAAGAAACAGGGAGGAGCTGTCTCCCTGGGAGGGCTTGGGGACCCTCTCCCCTTTCCTCCAAACACCCAACTACTTATCTGAGGGGAAGCAAGTAAACTAGTAATTACAATAACTGTGCTAAGTTTTATCCATGGTCTTCACCCAATTGTGTGGATTCAGAGAAGAAAGGGTCGAACCCTGCCTGAATAGTTAAGGGAAGGCATCATGGAGGAGGTGACATTTGAGTTTTGAGTTTTGAGGAGTGGGCAAGAGTTCTTAGTGTTTTAAGATTTCTCTGTGTTGAGATTTTGCTATCAATTTATAGCTTTTCACATTTACTAAAAATTCCACCCAACCCAGCCCTTCGAACTTTATTCAATAAGTTCTATGGACAAATGTTAGCTGGTACGGAGATCGCAAAAGAATGTAAGATATGATCACGACCTTTCAGGAGCTTACAGTTTTTTTGCCAGCATACCTACATATGTAAGAGTTACATAACTTTTCAAGATCATTGGTTTGTTAAGTCCTTGAATAGGAACTGTGGCTATCTTGTTCACTGCCCTGTCTCTGATTCCTGAATATTGTACCTGGGATTCAGTAAGTCCTCATTAAAATCTGACCAAGTATAGGAATGAATGATAAATGCTTAGTGAGTGGGGAAGATTTGATTTGGACCTGAAAGGCAGGGTCATGTTTGGATAAACAGAGGGAAAAGCATACACTATCTTGCCTTCCTTCATGTTTTTTGCATGCAGGTTGGTGTCACCAACTACATTACATGGACCATATTTTATGCATCTTTTATAGCCAAAGTGATTTGGTGTGGATGTGTGTCCCCTCCACATCACGTGTTGAAATGTGATTCTCAATGTTGGAGGTGGGGCCTAGCAGGAGGTGTTGGATAATAGGGATGGATCCCTCATGAATGACTTAGTCCCCTCCCCATGGCAATGAGTGAGTTCTTGATCTGTTAGTTCATGCAAGAGTTGGCTGTTTCAAGGAGGCTGGCACCTCCTCCTCTCTCTCTTGCTCCCTCTTTTGCCACAAGACAGACCAGCTCCTCTTCCCTTCCGCCATGACTAAAAGCTCCCTGAAGCCTCACCAGAAGCTGAGTGGATGCTGATGCCATGCTTGTCCAGCCTGTGGAAGCGTGAGCCAAAGAAACATCTTTTAAAAATAAATACCCAGCCTCAGGTATTCCTTTATAGCAACACAAAATGGACTAACACACAAAGAGAACTAGGCACTTAGTAAATGATTATACATGTCAGTTAGATTCAAGGGCAAGCTAGAGTCTTATCCATCCTTACTGAAAAGCTACACAAATATTGGTGATGGGAGAGGATGTGAAATGTTCCCAAGTTTTTTGTCTGCCCAAGCTGAGCTTACTTGTGTATAATCTGCATATTAGTGGAAAAACATGTGTTAATTGATTATCTACAGGGCACATGTGTGTGTATATAACATAGGCATTGTCACCATGTTTATGGAGCTTACAATTCTGCAGTTGAACAAGACAGACAATACAGCCAAGCATTATTAGTTGATGATAACTTCAGTTGATGACTTCCAGAGTCTCAAAAGCATATTGAGTATTTTGGCAGGTTAATCTGGGCACATTCCCTGAAGGAGGAGAAAGGTCTCTAGCTATTATTATTATTATTATTATTATTATTATTATTATTATTATTTTTGAGACAAAGTCTCACTCTGTTGCCCAGGCTCGAGTGCGGTGGTGAGATCTTGGCTCACTGCAACCTCTGCCAGCCGGGTTCAAGCAATTCTCGTTCTTCAGCTCCTGAGTAGCTAGGATTACAGGTGCCTGCCACCACGCCCGGCTAATTTTTGTATTTTAGTAGAGACAGGGTTTCACCATGTTGGCTAAGCTGGTCTCAAAATTTCTGACCTCAGGTGATCCGCCTGCCTCGGCTTCCCAAAGTGCTGGGATTACAGGCGTGAGGCACCGCGCCTGGCCTTTAACTATTATTGAAAGCTGTGATTATTAAGTTTCCCTGAAAAGGTCAGAATTTCCTAGAATTTCTCACTTTTCTTGTTATCCATGCTTTTCTTTTTTAGGCTGGTATAACAATAGCTGTAGCCCCTTGCTGGGTCAGATTGCTGATTTGTTGCATCTTGGAAGAATAACCCTTGCTTCACTACTGATAGGTTTGTGTTATGGATACTCTGTGTTACTATTTGTTTTGTTAATATCAAACTGTAATGATTAGAATTTTGGAAGACCATTTCCCTGAGGTCAGGTTCTCTGGAGTATACCTGGGAAAGTGGAAAGTATAAACAGAGCAGGGGAGGGTTTCAAAATTCACTGGACTCGGATTGTACAACTCTGTCCTATGAATGAGCAAGAACTAGGTGGGATTCTATAGAATGGGATCTAGGTAGCTAGAAAGGGCAAAGGTGAAGCATTAGATGTATTAGCAGTCAGGGAGAAACTACCAAGCAAATCCAAAATATTCTGTTTGTACTGGAAAAGTCTGTTTTGTGAATCCAGAGTCATCCCCAGCGGGAATAAAATTCTTCCTTTTATAGCCGTCCAACTCTCTCCCAAATCCTTTCATTCCATCCCCACTCTGCACCAGCAAGGGATCCCACTCTCCCACCACTAGGAAGTTATCCCTCAGGTTTAAGATATTTATAGCACCAGACATTCTCTTTGAAAAATATAAGAGAAATAGTGCCTTATGGAAATGATTTTCTGTTTTTTCTTTTAACAGAAAACTCACTTTTTGTCCCTAATAATAAAAACTGCTCTGGCCGAAGCAGGGGCAGGGGCCTGGGCCTTCCCCCTTAGCCTCACCCTTGCTGGCCCTTGAGACACTTGGGTGGAAGCCAGAGGCTCCAGGAAAGCTGTTTCAAAAGCTTTGCTGCAAACCAACCAACCATACAAACTCATTATTGGGACAGCTGGGGAAATTTGAATATTGACTGGGTGTTAGAGGACGTTTAGTAATTATTGTTCATTTTGTCAGATGTGATAATGTTATAATGGTTATGTGAGACAACATCCTGATTTTTTAAAGCTTCCTATTTCATGATGCTTGAGATTTGCATAAAAATGAAGTGAATATGCGCTGGGCACAGTGGCTCACGCCTGTAATCCCAACAGTTTTGGAGGCCGAGGCAGGTGGATCAATTGAGATCAGGAGTTTGAGACCAGTCTGGCCAACATGGTGAAACCCCGTCTCTAGTAAAAATACAAAAATTAGCCAGGTGTGGTGGTACACGCTTGTGATCCCAGCTACTTGGGAGGCTGAGGCAAGAGAATCGCTTGAACCCGGGAAGCAGAGGTTGCAGTGAACCAATATCACATCACTGCCCTCCAGCCTGGGCGACAGAGCGAGACTTCGTCTCCAAAACAAATCGAAAGAAAAAAACGAAAATGAAGTGAATATGGCAAAATGAAAATAATGTTAAATTGAGGTGGTGGGTTATGGGCTCATTACAATCTTTTCTCTGAAAAATGTAAAAGCAATGCTTCAAGCTGGTAGTTGTAGGCATCCTAGGAGGGATAGGTTTATTGGCACAGTTTTCCTTTGAGACTTTGGGTGCCAGTCTAGAGCAGGGCACAGAGGAAATACAGGGGTCAGCTACATTCATCTGCTCACTCACCACCCATGGGTGCTGGCAGGGCATCAAACTACACCCCAAAACTCTCCCCTAGTGTAACCCTTTACTCAACCTAATTAAAGGATGTGTAACATTTTTACCATTAGCAGCAGGGCTAACTACATGCACATCCACCCCCACCCCCTGCAGCTGTCTGGCCCCTCCTGCTTGTCTTGCTTGAGTGGGCAAAATCCCCAACCCCTACCCAGCACGCCCACATTCCCTATATGCCCTGCCCTAAGCTAGCACCTGCTGCCTCAAAGGAATACTGAGCTGATAAAAGTGTTCCTTCTCTCCTCCCCTACCTCATCTCCCTTTCCTGGGCATCCAGGGATCTGAAGAGAGCACCTCTGGTTACTAGGAAGCTGCTAGATGCGTACTGGGCAATAGTACTGTTTTCTCATTTCAGAGACCCACCCGAGACTGCTGACTGGCCGAACGCCAGCACTGTTCTCACATCTCCTTGCTCTGCCCTCTGCTACCAGCCAGCCCAGGAAGCTGAGATGTAGCATCAGAGAGGGAAGAGACTTCTGAAATCAAGAAGTGCAGCCTCCCAAACAGAGCAAGGATCCCTGTAGGCATATCTGATGGATGGTCACCTGGTCCCTGCTAAAATGTTTCCATTGGAGATTGTTTCCACAAACATTTACATAGTACTCCTCTGGGTCAGGCACAGAGGAAGGCACTAATCAGGGTCAGAGCCCAGGGACAGTAAGAGCTCAGTAGCAAACTGCACCAGGACCCACCAGTCTCCTATTGCAGACCTCCGCAGCAGGGGCTGGAAGACGCAGCACCCAAAACTCCAGACAGGCCCATCTCCCTCTAGCAGCAAAAAGGTGGCTGGCTGGCAGATGAATCTATCCCTTGGTAAGGATGCCAGTGTTTGAGTTTTGCCTGATTAGCTCCTCAGTTTTATAATACCAGGAGCCCAGTTTTATTAATGGTCCTGGGGGTTATAGAACTGTGATAACCTAACCTTGTAAGAAACATGCATGCCGGCCAGGTGTGGTGGCTCACGCCTGTAATCCCAGCACTTTGGAAGGCCGAAGAGGGCGGATCGAGGTCAGGAGATCGAGACTATCCTGACTAATATGGTGAAACCCCATCTCTACTAAAAATACAAAAAATTAGCTGGGCCTGGTGGTTCATGCCTGCAGTCCTAGCTACTTGGGAGGCTGAGGCAGGAGAATCGCTTGAACCTGGGAGGCGAAGGTTGCAGTGAGCTGAGATTGTGCCACTGAACTCCAGCCTGGGCAACACAGCGAGACTCTGTCTTAAAAAAAAGAAAAGAAAAAAGAAACATGCATGCTAAGAGGCCAATTTACAAATGAGTCGTGAACAAGCACAGCTGTCCGGCAACCAGAATATTCACATTTGCTTTCCAAGACACACATTTCCTGGTATGGAATTTATAACTAGGAGGTTGCTTGGTGAGCATGAAATTAGCTCAAAGGGTGGGGAGGGCTGTGGAAGAAGCTGAGGGAGAGCTACCCTTGGACTTTACAACAGAACACCTGTTTCCAAGAACGGGGTTTCCCTTGAGTGGACTCTTTTCCTTGATATGCCTTTTCTAATAGCCACATAACACCATCTCGAAAGGTTACAACTTTCTTCATATCAGCTATGTTTCTCATTGTGTTTTCCTGAGGTATCCTTGATACTCTGCGGGAAGGTAGGTGACTGTACCCTGGACAGCACCATGGCCCAGGGCTTTCTTCAGTACTAGTTCTTGTATTTGTATACAGATGTATAGGGGTGAGGGTGGGGGCAGAGGAGACAGTTTGGCAACTCTTCCCTTTTTCTGGTTCTATGTGATGTTGACAGGTGTTATGACAGGGCTCATAAATGTAAATGCAACGGGGTCCAGGTACATAGCATAAAGGAAACAAGCTGAATAAAACAATCTCAATAGAAACTTGAATATAAATATGCTTCTTTGTGCTCTTTTTCTTTTCTTTTTCTTTTTTCTTTTTTTTTTTTTTGAGATTGTGTCTCACTCTGTCACCCAGGCTGGAGTGCAGTGGCACGATCTCGGCTCACTGCAACTTCTGCCTCCCGAATTCAAGCAATTCTCTTGCCTCAGCCTCTGGAGTAGCTGGGACTATAGGCACGTGCCATCATGCTTAGCTGATTTTTGTATTTTTTAGTAGAGATGGAGTTTCACCATGTTGGCCAGGCTGGTCTTGAACTCCTGACCTCAAGTGATCCACCCTCCTGGGCCTCCCAAAGTGCTGGGATTATAGGTGTGAGCCACCGTGCCCGGACTTTCATGCTGTTTACTACAAGAAAAAAATAATACAGACATGAAGATAATGGCAATGAATGCTCAGTGGGGTGAGCGGGCAGTGGTGAGTTCTGGGGACTCTGGTAAGCTGGGGTGGGCACACCCCTTTGCAAGATGACTACTGCTCAACTCCAGCAGACTGTGGCCAGGTGAGAACGAGGCCCTGAAGTTACCAGGTCTGATTTTTTTTCAAGAGAAGTTGGTAAACTGGATTTTTAGGTGAAATCACTTGATTTTTAAGTGTTGGCAGTCAACTCAAACTAATTTTAAAAATGCTTCATGATGCTGGGCACGGTGGCTCACACCTGTAATCCCAGCACTTTGGGAGGTTGAAGTGGGTGGATCGCCTGAAGTCAGGAGTTTGAGACCAGCCTGGTCAACATGGCAAAACCCCGTCTCTACTAAAAATACAAAAATTAGCTAGGCATGATGGTTCGTGCCAATAGTCCCAGCTACTCGGGAGGCTGAGGCAAGAGAATCACTTGTACCTGGGAAGCGGAGGTTGCAGTGAGCCAAGATCACACACTGTACTCCAGCCTGGGTGACAGAGTGAGACACCATCTCAAAAAACAAAAAACAGAAAACAAGCCAAAAAAAACTTCATTAAAGAAAACAAAACATATCCAGGCCAGATTCAGTATGCAACTTCTGCCTTATATATAAAAGGACCCCATGATTAAATGTTTTAGGAAATGCTAATTTCAAAAAATAAAATAGAAAAATATAGACAGATTTTTGTTGTTTTTTAATCATAGACATTCTGAGCGCCTTTCAGAGAGTGATGTGTGTTTGAAGCTCCAATTCAGTCTCCTTGGCTTCACTCAGTCACTCAGTCATAGCATCTCCTCAAGTCAGTATCTAAAGACTGCCATGTGCAGCCATTTCCAGGGGATCCTTTGGCTTTGTGTCGGCCAGTGGCATTTTCTGGCCCTTTCCTCTAAGTCAAGGGATGCATTCTCTGAGGACTCAGAGCCCTGCACACCCGATGCTGACTGCGGAGGAACACAGGAGCGGAAGCAACCTGCCCTGGCTCTGGAGGGATATTCACATTTTTTTTTGTGTGTGTGCAGCTCACTTGTCTGGATTCTAGAACAGTCTGGGCTGAGTTCAACTTTACCCAGAAGCGGCAGGCCCTCTGCCCCTGTCAGCCTCATCTCCTGTCAGTGTCTTCCCCCTTCTTACTTTCATTCCATGTTCAACACCCCATGTGAAAATGTGGCTAAAAGCTCACCACCACCAACCCCTCCCAAAAGATCCCCTGATTTATTTCACCCACTCTGCCTCCCTAGCTAGTCCTGACTACCCCATAGGAAGACTAGGTCCATATTTAGGGCCCAGCAAAGCAGAGGAATAAAAAAAAAAAAATAGAAAAGGGCAGCTTTAGTAAATTTATCCAGAATATTGCAACTGGAATATCTAGAGAGAAGCTTATAAAATTTCAGTATGCATATGAGCTTTCATTATTGCTTTTTTTTTTATTTTTTATTTTTTTGAGACAGAGTCTCACTCTGTCCCCCAGGCTGGAGTACAGTCGTGTGATCTTGGCTCACTGCAACCTCCGCCTCCTGGGTTCAAGCGATTCTCCTGCCTCAGCCCCCCGAGTAGCTGGGACTAAAGGTGTGCGCCACCATGCCTGGATAATTTTTGTATTTTTAGAAGAGACAGATTTTCGCCATGTTGTCCAGGCTGGTCTTGAACTCCTGAACTCACTCATGTGATCCGCCCACCTAGGCCTCCCAAAGTGCTGGGATTACAGCCATGAGCCACTGCACCAGGCCTGTGCTAGTCTTGATATCAATGGGTCGCCTGCTCCTCAGGATCTGGAGAAGACCCTCCGGAACCCCCACCCCATACATTCTGTGAATCCATATGCCCTTGCTTACTCCCTGTCACCTTGGCTCCAATGTGTAGCTCTGCCACATTCTGCATTTTGCAATTTTTTCTTCCTCTCTGCCTCAACATTTGGCAGAAATATAGGACACGACTTTTTCTCAATCCCCTCCCGTCTTCTCAAACGTGTCTACATGAGGCATCTATGTGTGGAGGGGAGCCAGGGATGGCATGTGTACATCACAGGGCCATTAGAGCACACAGCTAAAATTAAACTTCCCAGTTCTTAAAAAGCACAGGTACCATTCCTGCTGACTCCGCGCTGGCGTTCAGCCACAGTGCCGGCCCTCTCTCCCTCCTCCTCTCTCTAACTCCTCCTCACTTTCCAAATCCTGTTAATTCTTCATGTTACTGGTTTAACCATCTCTTCCTTGCTGCCTTCCAGATCATACCACCAGGGCCTTACCTCTATCTCCCTGGAGCTTATTAGATCTTTTCCTAAGCAAAGGCAATTCTTTTCTAAGAGAGACCCTAGTGTTAGTTTTATGAATAGTAATTTTTCTAGGAACCTCACCCCCTTGGCCTAGACTTTGCCCCCAAGGGAGCCCCTGCAGCACCTTTGGGGAACTCTTGGGTTCCACTTTGAAAACTGATGGGCTAGATTACTTTTTTTTTTTTTGAAACAAGGGGCTTGCTCTGTCACCTAGGCTGGAGTGCAGTGGCACAGCCAAGGCTAACTGCAGCCTCAATCTCCGAGGCTCAAGTGATTCCCAGGGCTCAAGTGATCCTCTAGCCTCAGCCTCCCAAGTAGCTGGACTATAGGTGTGCACCACTGTCTCTGGCTAATTTTTTTTGGTAGAAATGGGTTTCACTATGTTGTCCAGGCTGGTCTTAAACTCCTGAGTTAAAGTGATCCTCCCACCTTAGCTTCCCAAAGTGCTGAGATTACAGGCCTAAGCCACTGCCCCCAGCCAGCCTAGATCATTTTTGAGAGCCTTTCCATGTTTCAAGCTCTGTGAGTCTATGATTCCTGGATGTGAAGTCTGTGTGACTGATAAAAGCAGGCAGAAATGCAAAGCTGAGAAGAACGCTTGGCTTGGAATGGTGATTCTCAAGATTTTTATACTCAGAATCCCTTTATACTCCCTAGGAGAACCCCAAAGGATTTTTGTTCTCATCCCTTATATCAGTCTTTATATGCTGTGTGATCTTGGTGTAGTAATTAGCTCCTCTGAACCTCAATGCCTGTCTTAAAATTAGGACTGAAATATCCACTAGGAAGGACTACGGTGAGAATTAAATGAGATAATGTAAGATCAAAGTAATTTTTCAATTCTAAAGGGTTATGTAAATGTTACTTGTTGTTAGTATTATTGGTTCTATTAAGGAGATAATGGAGATGCTGCAGCTGTATGTCACCTTCTCTAAGTACCCAGGAGCAGCAAGAAACACTGAATTTTGGAGTCTTATCTGGAAAAGACTTGGAATTGTAATCCCCCACTTACTGACTGTAAGAGCCTTGGGTAAGTCACTCAACCTCTCTGAATCATTTCAATTTACTCACCATTGTGGGGTGGGGGGGAAGGAAAATAATACAGGGTTTATTTTCCAGGCTTATAGCAAGAATCTGGAATCATGTCTTGATAGAGCTGGCACCAGGTAGATACTAAAAAGCAAACAAAATCTAGTCTGTGCTTCTTTCCAACGTACTGGTTCACTTAAATCTGCCCTCCTATGCAATATTTTGTCAGGAATATCTTTATTTCATCAAAAGTTCACTATAGAAATGTACCAGCAATTCTACTTTAGACTGGTCCTTTAAAAATATATTTTTGGCTATACAATGACTTTTTTTTTTTTTTCATTGAGGGGAACAGGACACCAGATTCTGAAGGTAGAAGTATGTTAAAGACCAGACTTGAATTTAAGCCAGATCATAGGAAGGGAACATGGCATGGACCAGTATGGGAGGCATCTCAAAGAGGGACATTATTTCTCTGAATGAGATTGCTCACCTACGATCCCACCACCCCTGAAGCCTGGCCTGCTGTATGACATTCAGACATCCTCTGTCCGGGCAGTTGCCAATCCTGGTTGTTGAGTGGGACTCTGACTCGGAATCTGTGCCCACAAATCTGGCCCACGACTTCCCCCTTTAGCTCTGAATTTTCAGAATTAGAGTCCCTCCTTGGGTTGGGTGCTATTTTTCAGAAGGCCTGTTTTAAACATCGGTATCACCTGAGAAGAATAACAGCTCAGCATATATTCCTCAGCACGTAGCCCTAACAGCTCAGCATGGGTCAAGATATTGTGGAATTGTACCATCATAGGACCCTAAAAGAGGTACTGCAAGGACCTTAGTGATCAACCAATCTAACTACCTTGTTTTGTATAAGAGAAAACTGAGGCCAGAGTGATGAAGTGACTTTATCAAGGGTATACTGAGTCATTGGCAGTACCGAGAGGAGAACTCAGGTTTCCCCATTTCAGGTCCAGTGTTTCTTTCCCCCATATCTGCCATCCATCCCTCCTTCCAATAAAGGGCTATTGAGTACCCATTATGTGCCAGGAATTATGGTGAGAGCTGGGGATACAGAGGTGCCTAATAGACAACTCAGCCTTCATGCTGCCTACCTGTGCACATTGGCTACATGGATTAATGAACTCCCCTGCCCTCTGCCACCATCAGTGGGCACAGAATTGGTAAGTGTTGATGGGAAGATAAATGAAGAAGGATGTCTGTAACACAGGCTGCCACTTACCCATCCACCAACCCAACCTGAGCAGTAACACTTGCTATGGGGGAATGCACATGAGAATATTGGGAACATGGCAGGATTGGGGGGCGGGGCAGGTTGTGGGGCAGGAAGTAGAAGGAAAAAAGAAGCACAGGTCTCTGAAAGCAGGTTTAGGAAGACACTGAAGCCAAACCTCCCTCCTCTTGTTGTAGCTGAAGGAGAGGAACCAGGCGTGTACTTGAGCCAACTTAATGATGAGTCTTGCTTAAGACTCTACTTCTCTAGAGGATCAAGGAAGCTCTGGCACTGAATACAAGAATAGGAGGAAGCTGGACTCAGCAGCCGTCCCCAGCCTCCCACCTCTTGGGCTCAGCAGCTGTGCACCTCCCTGCTCCTGCACCCTGGACCCCTCCCTCCACAGGGCTCCCAGCCTCAAACAGTCAAGCTCACAAGTTGGCTGGGGCCAGCTTTCCCAGAAACTAGAAAGCTATGCTATGCATCTATCGTCTGTGAATCACTGCCCTCAGGTCATTAAGGAAACTTATTGGAGGTCTGATAGCTACAACGAGCTTAAAAGAAAAACTAAAACTTTTTCATGAACTGATAATAACTAGTTGAAAGTTTCAACTGTTCTCCCAAAGGAGTCAAGGGTGGTGTTATTTGAGCATAGTAAGATTGCCTCCTCTTCTAAGAAGTCATGTCAGAGAGCTAAGTACGTACCCCTGGAGACTCCAGCCCCATTGCCAATGAAACTATCTCGTACTAACTCTGCCTCTTCCCCCTTGGAGCTGAGGTCTGCCGAGGGGCTTCCAGGGAGAGTGTTCCTATTCTATAAAGAGCTACCCCTCTCTAGATTCCAGGATGCCTAGGCACTAGAGAGGGAAAGCCCTTTATAGAGTTCCTCTGTGTTTCCGGCTGCCAGGATGCCTAGGCACTAGATCCCCTCACAGGCCTGAGAGCCTCCCAAAACCACTGTACACACATATGCCCCTGATCCGATGGGGCGACTGAAATTCTTACCACTATTCGAGTCATTTCTCTGATCTACTCTCTAAAAGCCCCTATAAAAGCACAAATCATATACTATACAAATTATTACACAGCCCATCGTAGAAGTTTAGTTGGCTTTATTGGCTCCAGGGCTGAATGTTTTGCCCTAAGGCAGCGAATCAGAATCACTGTGGGTGAGGCTTAGGCATTTTACAATTTGTCCTGGAGATTTGAATGTGCAACCAGGATGAGGAACTGCTGCCCTCAGGGAGCGGTGCACAGAAGGGGAAAAAAGAGACTTAGGTCCCGGCCCTCCCCTGCTCCAGTCTAGACCAGCTCTGTGCCATGTTAAGAATGCCATTTGTAGGCTGGGCGTGGTGTCTCAAGCTTGTAATCCCAGCACTTTGGGAGGCCGAGGCAGGCAGATCAACTAAGGTCGGGAATTCGAGACCAGCCTGACCAACACGGAGAAACCCAGTCTCTACTAAAAATACAAAAATTAGCTGGGTGTGGTGGCGCATGCCTGTAATCCCAGCTACTCGGGAGGCTGAGGCAGAAGAATCGCTTGAACCCGGGAGGTGGAGGTTGCGGTGAGCCAAGATCCTACCATTGCACTCCAGCCTGGGAGACAAGAGCGAAACTCTGTCTTAAAAAAAAAAAAAAAAGAACTCCACCTGTCTCTTTGGCTTTCAGTTTGGACTTTCTTCTGGAAAATGAAAGAATGGGACTTGATGATCTTTGAGGTCCTTTCCATAGTCCTCAGCCTCTTGGCCAGAACCAAAAGATGAGTCTCTTTCAACTGCAACATTTTGTGACTATACAGGTTATTTTATGATTAGAAGAGCCAAATGGAGACTTTCTGGGAGTCCCTGAAGTCAAAACTGGCCAGGTTAACCCTCCTGTCCTTCATACAATTCCTTTTACCTGTTTACTGGCCATCAAACTCAGTGTTAAACCAACCTAACAGAAGGCAATGGCAACATCAAGGGCTGCTCCTAGCTATAAAAGGTGCATTAATCTTCGTAATGGTCCATCTTCCCCAGACCACTTCCTCCATCTGGACATTTATGGGACGGTGAATCAAGGGTTGCCCAGGAAGGTCTCTGTGCAATGCCAGCTCTGGCAGGTCACAATGTTCTGAGAGGGTTCTGAGTCCTAACCAAGAAGAGGCTTCTGCAGGCCAAGCTCCCGAAGGCTTCAGGGAGAAAAATGTCGTTATTCACTTTCTTCTGTCCAGGTCACAGTATGGCAGAAGAGGGACACATGTCCCCACTCTTCTTTGGCAAGTAATAATGCCAGAAGAATTTTGAATTCATCCTTTCGCAAAAATGGGAGATTGTTAAATAAAGATACATTGATAAATATGTATTCTGAGAAACACATTTTATTTTTCATGATAGATCTGTTCCTGAAAACATGGTGTTCAAGTTGAACATATGAAAACAGAACTTCTTTCTTCTTCAATGGAAGTGACACCTAACAATTTGGATTTAGATTTCTCTGCCTCTTACATCTACTGCTTGATAATGTAGAAACCAACATTCAAATCCAGGGAAGCAAATCCTTTTTTAAAAGATTTGATTAAATTATCTGAGGATAAATTGTGCCTTGTTTTTTATTTTTAACTATATTTTTGAGAGGGAGCTTCACAAACTCTTTATTATTCCCTTAAGATCCAACTTTTGGTTCTTATGACATCAGTTTCAGATGAGGACGCACAAGTCACTGTTCCCATTACTATATTGGGAGGGTGGGGTTCTGAAAATGTGCAATGTGAGTGGTGAGTCTTTGCTGGAAGGGTACTATCTTCTCATCTACCAAAGGGAAGGTGAGTAGAAAATTCCTAAAACTAAAAAATCAAGAAGTGGCAGTATCTATTTGTTATTTAAAAATATCAAGGTTAATAGCAAATAAATCTACTAAATTGAATTTAAAATGATGACCTACATCAAGAAATACCATAAGTCAAGTAAAAAGATCAGTGACAAAATGGGAAAAAATATTTGCAACTTAAATGTCAGACAAAGGTTAATTTCCATGGTATATAAAGTTTCTCAAAAAGGATAATTAAAAAGGTCAGCAATCACAGAAGAATCAGCTAGAGATATCAATAATTATTAGAAAAAGAAATGCAAATGGCCCTTAACATTATGAAAAGATGTCCAACCTCACTTAAAAGGCATTCAAATCAAAGCTAAACTGAGATACTATTTTAGACTTATCAAATTGGCAAAAATCCAAAATTTAAGAATACTCTGTTGGCAAGACTGGGAAAACAGACACTCTCATGCATTCCCAGTCATAATGCAAATTGGTTCAATCCCTACAGAGGATAATTTGGCAATATATAGCAGAATTGTTTATGCATATACCCTTAACCCAGGAATCTCACTTCTAGGCGCCTAACACAAAGATTATACTAGTGAAATATGAAAAGATACACACACACACACACACACACACACAAAAAAAACATACATACATATATATCTTTATACATAGATCTATTTATCTATGTATAGAAAGAGGCAATTTATTATAGCACTATTTGTAATAGCAAGACTGGATACAATCAGAATGCCTGTCAAAGGTGACTGGATGAATAAAGTATGGTACTTCCATACACTGGAGTATTAAAAAAACTGCAAAAAGGAAAGAGAAACATCTCTGAATTCTCCCATGAAGTAGTCTGCAGGATATGTTAAATGAAAAAAAGAATTACAAAAAATATACAGTATGCCACTTACATCAAAAATGTCTTGCCATGCCAGAAAGCAATAGAGCTATCAAAGAATGCTAAGACTTTATAGAAAGGACTCAGGATAAAATGGCACAGCCAATTTTGAAAAAGTTTGGCAGTTCCTCAAAAACGTGAACAGAGTTATCGTATAACCCAGCAATTTCATTCCTAAGTATATACCCCCAAAATTAACAACGTATGTCCACACAAAAACTTGCACATGAATGTTCACTAGCAGCATTATTTGTAACCTGCCCAAGGTGGAAACAACCCAAATGTCTATTGACTGATAAAAGATAAAATGTGGTATATCCATACAAGGGAATATTATTTATCCATAGATAGGAAGTACTGCTACATGTTAAAATATGGATGAACCTTGAAAACACTCTGCTAAGTGAAAGAAGCCAGTCACAAAAGGCCACATATTATATGATTTCATTTGCATGAAACGCCCAGAACAGGAAAATCTGTAGAGACAGAAAGTAGATTGGTAGTTGTCAGGAGCTGGGAGTGGGAGGGGGAATGGGTAGCGACTGCTAATGGGTATGTGGTTTCTTCTTCGGGTAAGGCAGTTATCCTGAAATTAGATGGTGGTGATAGTTGCACAACTTTTTGAATATACTAAAAACCATTGGCCGGGCGTGATGGCTCACGCCTGTAATCCCAGCACTTTGGGAGGCTGAGGGGGCGGATCACAAGGTCAGGAGATTGAGACCATCCTGGCTAACATGACTAAAAATACAAAAAATTAGCCGGGTGTGGTGGCAGGCACCTGTAGTCCCAGCTACTCGGGAGGCTGAGGCAGGAGAGTGGTGTGAACCTGGGAGGCGGAGCTGGCAGTGAGCCGAGATTGTGCCACTGCACTCTAGCCTGGGCGACAGAAAGAGACTCCCCCGCAAACAAACAAACAAACAAAAAAACCCATTGAACTGTACAATTTAAAATGGTGACTTTTATGGTATATTGAATTGTTTCTCAATTAAAAAGGCATATACATTAGGGCTGGGCATGGTGGCTCATGCCTGTAATCCCAGCACTCTAGGGGGCTGAGGCAGGAAGACAACTTGAGTTCAGGAGCTCGAGACCAGCCTGGCCAATACGGTGAAATCCTATCTCTACTAAAAATACAAAAATTAGCGGGGGCATGGTGGTGGGCACCTGTAATCTCAGGTACTCAGGAGGCTGAGGCAGGAGAATCGCTTGAACCCAGGAGGTGGAGGGTGCAGTGAGCCGAGATCATGCCAGTGCACTCCAGCCTGGGAGACAGAGCGAGACTGTCTCAAAAAAAAAAAAAGATATATACACTAAATTTTTAAAGAAAATATTCATTGATAAACAAAAAACAACACAAAAGGACTAAGGTACCAACATAAATCAGCTCCATTTGCCAAAGTCGGGACAATTTGAGCATCAAAGTAGTAACTATAAGTGACTCAAACATATAAAATATGTTTAAATCCATGATTTGGCCAGGCGTGGTGACTCATGCCTGTAATCCTAGCACTTTGGGAGGCAGAGGCGGGTGGATCACGAGGTCAGGAGTTCAAGACCAGCCTGGCCAAGATGGTGAAACTCCATCTCTACTAAAAATACAAAAAAAATTAGCCGGGCATGGTGGCACACACCTGTAATCCCAGCTACTCCGGAGGCTGAGGCAGAGAATTGCTTAAACCTGGAAGGGCGGAGGTTGCAGTGAGCCGAGATCGTGCCACTGCACTCCAGCCTGGGCAACAGAGCAAGACTCTGTCTCAAAAAAAAAAAAAAATCCATGATTTGAAGAATTCCAGAAAACAAATTTATTATCTTGAAAACTATTAATAATAGAAAAAGAAGCATTTATTCTGTCTTTTCTGTACAAACTATGCCTAAGGATAACCAAATAGTTAATGAGAGAAGATTCTCTTTACAGAATTATTTAAAGTAATAAACAATGAAGCAATAATAGAATATGATCATTTTGCAATTCTGATGAATTATTGGATCTGTGCAATAATTAACAATGGCTGATAACATCACAGAAAGAGAGACAATCACACATTACATATGATGCACCCAATAACACCTATGAAACACTCTTGCTAAAAAACTAAACTAAACAAATCTAACCAGAATCTAATCAGGCATCAGCAAACAAAGAAACTTGTTAAACAACTTAACAGGGATGCAATTTTGAAAACATACATCATGGGAAATTCTACAAAACAATCTGGTTTCTTCAACAACAACACTGCAAGGAACAAAGCATACAAAGGGATGGCAGTGTAATCTACAAATCACAGACCTAAGAGACACATTAAACAATGCCAGTGCATGAACCTTATTTGAATCTGGATTCAAACAAATAAACCACTAAAAATTTAAAGACAATAAAACATTGTTTTTAGACAATTAAGAATTTATGAACACTGACAAAATATGTGATAATGTTAATGAATTATTAATAGTTTTAGAGATTGTGATGGTTAATTTTATGTATCAACTTGACTGGGCCATGGGGGTCCAGATATTTGGTCAAACATTATTCTGAGTATGTTTGTTAAACATTATTCTGGGTGTGTTTTTGGATGAGGTTAACAGTTAAATCAATAAACTGAATAAGGTGGATTGCTCTTCTTTGATGCAGGTGGGCCTCATCCCATCAGTAAAGGCCTGAATAGAACAAACAGGCAGATCCTCCCTTGAATAAAAGGGAACTCTTTGTGCCTTACTGCTTACACTGGGAAATGTTGTTTTCCCATCTTGAAGCCCCAGTTGGAAAATCTGTTCTCCTTGAGTCTCAAGCCTGCTGGCTTTCAGACAGGAACTGACACCATTAGCTCTCCTGGTTCTCAAGCTTTCAGACTCAGACTGGAACTATACTTTGCCTCTCCTTGGTCTCCAGCTTGCCAATTGTAGATTTTGGGATGTCTCAGCCTCTATAAATTATGTACCTAATTTCTTATAACAAATCTCCTCTCTCTCTTTCTTTACACACACACACACACACACACACACACACACACACACACACACACAAATCTCCTATTGGTTCTATTTCTCTGGAGAACCCTGACTAATACAGGGATGGTAAGGTGTTATAGTTATAGTTAAGAGTCCTTATCCTTTAGAAATACATATATGAAATACTTACAGATAAAATGATATGATGTCTGACATTTGCTTCAAAATAATCTTAGGATGGAAGGAAATGGATAAAGATTTAGATGAAACAGACTGGCTATCTGTTGGTAATTGTTAAAGCTGGGTGATGGAAGCATGGGGTTTCCTCATGCTATTCTCTCTGCTTTTGTATATGGATACAGTTTTCTTTAGTGAAAAAGTAAAAAATGGAAGAAAACGAAAAATAGGAAATTGAAAAATATTAGTAGTATGGGGAATTACTTTTTCTCATAACCACTACTGTAGAATAATTTGACTCTTTATAATATGTGTGTGTGTAAAACTAAGTATCTTTTAAAAATTAAAAAGTGAAGAGAACCTACCATAAATATAATATGTAATGGTGAAACTTTAGATGCATTCTCATTAAAGGTAGAAACATCAACGATTCCTGCTCTTTGACATTGTACTGGAGTCTTAGCCTTTGCAATAAGACAAGAAAAAGAAGAGCTAAATAGAATAGGAGAAAAAAATTATTGTTGTTTGCAGACAATACTGTATGTATAGATAATCCAAAATTATTTACAAACTGCAGGAAAACTGCTGGATATAAGAGCAAGACACAAAAATCAATATTGTTCCCATATATTGGGAATAACCAATAGTAATTAGAAAATGTGGTATAACAAAATTATATACACAATGGCAACAGAAACTGTAAGGTACATAGAAATAAATCTATCAAAAGGTGGGAAGACATTTTTGAAGAAAATTATAAAACATTATTGAAGGACATAAGAATAGACCTGAATGAAATCATAAATATATCAATTATTTCCCAAATTAATCTCTAAAGTCAATGCCTCAAACCAGAAACTCAATAACAGAACTTTTTTGGAACCCAATAAACTGATACCAAATTTCACCATTTCAAAATTTTGAGAAACATTTTAAAAATAAGAACAAAGGGAGGCTTGTTTTTACCAAGAATTAAGGCTCATTAGAAAGCTGTTGTACCTAAAATAGTGAAATATTGGGATAGGGATAGAAAAATAAATTAATAGAATAGGCCAGAGATTCCAGAAATAGCCTCATATAAAATTTGAAATAATGTATTATACAGATGATAGTTGAGAAATGATGGACAATTCAATAAATGGAGTAATTGGCTTGCCCTGCTGGGGAAAAAATGAAGTTAGATTCTTACTCAACACATAATAGAAAAATAAATTCCAGTTGGATTAAAGCTCTAAATATGAAAAACAAAAGTTAAATTTGTTAGAAGAACATACAGGGGGAAATATTTCTATTCTCAAGGTACAGAACACAAGACACAAAAAGCCAAAATAATAAAAGGAGGAATTGATTGCATCATAATTTAAATTTTCTGTGTAACAAAAGACCCCATCCAAAGCAAAAAGATAGTGACAGATTAGAGAAGATATTTTCAACATATCAGAATATATACAGGTCCTACAATTTGATAAGAAAAACAATCTAATAAAAAGTTGAGCAGAAGATATGAATGATTTACAGAAGAGAAAATCCAAACAACAAATAAATACAAGGAAAGATACTCAAAATACTCAGTAATCAGAGAAATAAAAAAGCAAAATGAGATGCTATTTTTACACCTACCAGATTGATAAAAATTAAAAAGTCTGAATATGAAGATGTTGGGAAACTAAAATGCAGCTTGTTGGACAACTAATTTAATACAACTAATTTAGAGATAAAATTCAGGATATGGTCCTATTTAGTTGAAAACTCATACATTATATGACACAGCAATACTTATACTCAGCATATACTTCTAGATATACACCTGGGAGAAATTCTGACACATGAACACAAAGAGACATATGAGAACATTCACTGTAGCACTTTAAAATAAAAATAAATGGGGGAAAAGCTGGAAATAAATTATAAAAGTTGAATAAATTTCTGGTGAACAAAATGTGCCATATCCATATGCTTAAATACTATGCAGTAGTTAAAAATGAATGAACTAGATCTAGCCTATGTATCAGCATAGACAGATGTCAAAAATAATGTAGAATTTATTTATTTATTTATTTTTGGAGACAAAGTTTCATTCTTGTCATCCAGGCTGGAGTGCAATGGTGGGATCTCAGCTCACTGCAACCTTCTTCTCTTGGGTTCAAGTGATTCTCCTGCCTCAGCCTCCCAAGCAGCTGGGATTACAGGTGCCCACCACCACGCCCAACTAATTTTTGTATTTTTAGTAGAGATGGGGTTTCACCATGTTGGCCAGGCTGGTCTCGAACTCCCGACCTCAGGTGATCCGCCCACCTCGGCCTCCCAAAGTGCTGGGATTACAGACGTGAGCCACCATGCCCCACCATAATGTAGAGTTTAAAAAGCAATTTCCAGAATAGTACAATGTATCAATTATTGAGAGTAAGAGAATGGGGACAAGCATAGACAGCTGTTTTGAGAAGTTCTGCTGTGAAATGGTAGGGATTGTAATAGCTGGAAGTGGGAGTATAGTGGCTAAGGAGAGTTATAATTATTTTTTTAAATAAATATTACTACAGCTTGTTTGCAAATGGGTGGGAATGATCTGGTAGACAGAATGAAAATCATAAAGAGCAAAATCCTTGGGAAGGTGGAAGCTTGGGCTCCAAAGCACAGAAGGAGGATGCTACTATATTTTAGGCAGCTAAATGGTAAGTGGTCATGGGATGGAATGAAGGCGCTGAATTTGTAGGCTGTTGAGGAGGTAGAACCTTCAAGAAGTAATGCTAATTGGATGTCTGGTGACATTATAAAGGGGAGTCTGGTTAAAAGGCAGGACAAAGGCCAGATGCAGTGGCTCATGCCTGTAATCCTAGCACTTTGGGAAGCCGAGGCAGGTGGATCACCTGAAGTCAGGAGTTCGAGACCAGCCTGGCCAACATGGCGAAACCCCCCTCTACTAAAAATACAAAATTAGCTGGGCGTGGTTCGGGTGCCCGTGATCCCAGCTACTTGGGAGGCTGAGGAGGGAGAATCGCTTGAGCCTGGGAGGCAGAGGTTGCAGTGAGCCGAGATTGTGCCACTGCACTCCAGCCTGGCGACAGAGCAAGACTCTGTCTCAAAAAAAAAAAAAAAAAAAAAAAAAGCAAGACAAAAGGACTTCTCTCCTGTCACAGACTCTGCCCTTTCTGAGAGTCTGGGACCCTACTATTGTCACTCCTAAATTTTGTTTGTTTGTTTGTTTGTTTGTTTGTTTGTTTGTTTTTGAGACAGAGTTTCACTCTGTCGCCCAGGCTGGAGTGCAGTGGTGTGTTCTCGGCTCACTGCAAGCCCTGCCTCCCGGGTTCACGCCATTCTCCTGCCTCAGCCTCCCCAGTAGCTGGGACCACAGGCGCCCGCCACCACGCCCGGCTAATTTTTTGTATTTTTAGTAGAGATGGGGTTTCACCGTGTTAGCCAGGATGGTCTCGATCTCCTGACCTCGTGATCTGCCCGCCTCGGCCTCCCAAAGTGCTGGGATTACAGACGTGAGCCATCGCGCCCAGTCTGTCACTCCTAACTTCTAATCTGCTCTAGGGAGAGTCCCAATAGTCCATCTTGCATACTGAAGATTAAGTGAATTTCACAGCCAACACCACACAATACCTTCTCTATTGAGCTGTAAGCTGCCTCTGGACTGGATGGTGTTTTGTTTTTATTTTTACCGTCAGCACCAGTGCCTCTCACATAGAATTTAGCCAAGCCGGTTAGGTGTTAAGTGCTGCTGCTGCGCTGTCAGAAGGGCACACGGGGCTGGTTCTAGACCGGCCTCTGCTGCTTACTCGTTCAGTAATCTTCTACAGCAAGTTCTTGAACTTCTCTGGGCCTGTTTTCTACCTCGCCGAGTGGTTAACTGCGTTTAGGATCTTGGAAGCACCTAAGCACGAAAAGCACATAGGCCAGAAGTTAAGATGTCCCTTGGGGACGCAAATACCGGGAATTTCTCCGGCTGTTCCCACCGATCAAGCACCAGGGCTCTCAGGTCTAGCTCCTTCGTCTCCCCACCCCCACATATACCCTCACTTTTTCTTCCTTTCCCTATGCCTCGCAGTCCCTCAACAGGGTCTGCGGTCAGACGTCACTCCCAGGTGACTGGCAATCAGGGATGCCGCCTCGCTCACCTGGCCACCCTTGAAGATTGTGGATCCTGCACCGGCTAGCCGGCTGGCAGAGGGCGCGCCAACAGCCGCCAGCCGAAGTGCCCCCGCGTAGGTGGGAGGAGTGACTGCCTCTCACCATCCCCCGGGGATGCACCTGTGGAGAGACGGCCCGAGAGTTCCAGGGTGAGTGCGCAGAGGAGCTTATCTGCCTGCCTGCGGGTCGGTGTGTCCTGCCGGCTGCTGGGCGCTGGCCTGCGTCGCCTGCTTGTCTCGCTCCCTGTCCCTCGTCCGCTACCCCCTCTGCCCCCCCTCCCTCCAGCAGCCGGCCTCTCGGTCATCCCGCCGGGTGGGTGCCTGCGAACCTCACTCCTCCCTCCTCTGCAGGAGCCAACTGGCGAGCCGCAGGCCGCCGGGCTCGGCCTGGGAGCCCATAAAACCCGCCCGAGCCGCGCCGCTGCGCTCCAGCCGCTGCTCACCAGGCAGAGCGAGCGGGCTTGGCTGGGGCTTCCTGCCCTGAGCGCGACACCGACTGCCCCGGACCGCGCCTCCAAGCAGGCTGAAGGGCTTCCGCTCTTGGCTTCCAGAAAAGTTTGGAGAAAGAGAATTTGAGGCGGATTGGAGGGTGGTAGCCCCTCCCCAGCCTTCTTTCCCTCCCAGAAGCCTCACTCTGCACAGCGTCCCCCATTCTTCCCGTCCTGATTCCCCATCTTCCTGACCCCTCCTTCTCCCTCTCCTGGGTCGATCCCAGTCACATTTTCTCCTTCCGAATCTCATCCTCCCTCCTCCTCTCTATCCCAGTCCTCTGAACGATTTCCGCCTATTTGCAAGCCTTCTCCCTGTCATTCTCAACGCTTCTCCTTTCTCTCCACCTCCCCTGCCACTCCATTTTATCCATCAAACCTCTCCACTTGCATCCACACCCTCCCTTCATCCTTCCCTCCCAGCAAACCTTGCTCATGGATTCTGGGCCTCTGTGGGATGCCAACCCCACCCCTCGGGGCACCCTCTCTGCCCCCAATGCCACAACACCCTGGCTGGGCCGGGATGAGGAGCTGGCCAAGGTGGAGATCGGAGTCCTGGCCACTGTCCTGGTGCTGGCGACCGGGGGCAACCTGGCTGTGCTGCTGACCCTGGGCCAGCTGGGCCGCAAGCGCTCCCGCATGCACCTGTTCGTGCTGCACTTAGCCCTGACAGACCTGGCCGTGGCGCTCTTCCAGGTGCTGCCACAGCTGCTGTGGGACATCACCTACCGCTTCCAGGGCCCCGACCTCCTGTGCAGGGCCGTCAAGTACCTGCAGGTGCTCAGCATGTTTGCCTCCACCTACATGCTGCTGGCCATGACGCTGGACCGCTACCTGGCTGTCTGTCACCCCCTGCGCAGCCTCCAGCAGCCAGGCCAGTCCACCTACCTGCTCATCGCTGCTCCCTGGCTGCTGGCCGCCATCTTCAGCCTCCCTCAAGTCTTCATTTTTTCCCTGCGGGAGGTGATCCAGGGCTCAGGGGTGCTGGACTGCTGGGCAGACTTCGGCTTCCCTTGGGGGCCACGGGCCTACCTCACCTGGACCACCCTGGCTATCTTCGTTCTGCCGGTGACCATGCTCACGGCCTGCTACAGCCTCATCTGCCATGAGATCTGTAAAAACCTAAAAGTCAAGACACAGGCCTGGCGGGTGGGAGGAGGGGGCTGGAGGACTTGGGACAGGCCCTCACCTTCCACCTTAGCTGCCACCACTCGGGGGCTGCCATCTCGGGTCAGCAGCATCAACACCATCTCACGGGCCAAGATCCGAACAGTGAAGATGACCTTTGTCATCGTGCTGGCCTACATCGCTTGCTGGGCTCCCTTCTTCAGTGTCCAGATGTGGTCCGTGTGGGACAAGAATGCCCCTGATGAAGGCAAGTGGGGTCTATGTGGGGGCAGTGAGGTGGGAGAGACAGAAAGAGAGGATGGGGGATTAGGTCAGGGTTACAATGCCTCCCAGGGCCAGGCAGGTGACAAACTAGTGGGGCAATGAAGGAAGATGGTGCCTGCTCCAAGTGAAAAGGGGCAGTTATGATTTCCATTCAGCCTACCGATGCCATGTCAGTATCTTTTACGTGAAATTTCCAGCTTTAAAAATTTTGGTAACTAACAATTTTAAAATACTAGGTGGTACTAATGAAATATGACCATTAGCACATTTGGCCACCAACTACTAGTTTGCTAGATGGGCTTTAAAATCATAGAATGATAGCAATTTGTGGCCCATGAACTTGCTCTCTCAGCCTTGTCCCTCCTGCACCTGGACATGCCTTTGAGCTCCTTCTCAACAGACACTTCCAGTTAATTAGGGTTGGCACATGAAAACCCTGAAATTTCCAGTTCAACCTCTTCATGTTACTAATGAGGAAACAGAGGCTCAGAGAGGAACTGTTACCAGCTGATGTGGTGAAGTCCCAGGTTCTTGGTGCCACGAACAAAGAATTGGATGTGACACACACAAATAGCAAAGTAGCAAAAGTTTATTAAGCACAGTAACACTCTCGGAGAGGGGAGAGTGGGCTAAGCTCTGTGAAATGAGATCGGCGTCAGTTTGGTGTACTTTGGGCCTTTTTATGTGTTTTTTTTTTCTCTTCCCCGAGCTGCCTAATCTTTAACCAGCATCTGGCTTTTGATTGATAGGTAGGTTGCTTAGTTACTTTGGCCCTTGTGCACTTGCACGTAACCTTCATCTCATAATTTTAAGTGCATGCATGCTATGCAGTACCTATGCATGAGCTTTAATGAGCTGATTCTCATATGGGGTCATTTTAGGGATACTTTTTCTCTTTAATATACATGCCCATCTCTGAGGAGCTGCCCCTTACTGGATTGGTCTGAATCTAGCCAACCATGGGGGCTCTTGACTCACTTCATATAACTTTTGTTTTGGCTCAGCTTCTGCTTCTTATCTTGCCTCTTGCTCACCCTCCTCTTTATCCTGCTTCTGCTCCTACTCATTCTGCTTTTTATCCAACCTCTAATTCCCTCTGCTGTTTTCCTGCCTCAGAACCATGACTTGCCCCAGGCCTCACAGCTAGGGAGTGACAAAGTGAAGAATAAAGCCCAGGTCTTCTGTCTCCTTGTCTTTTTCCTCAACCCCATTAATAACCCTGATTTTAAAAGTGGTTCTAAAAGGAGGGAGACCTTTCTCCTGTGTGAAAAACAACATGGGAACCTCTAAGAGGACTGTGCTACAGTTGGCACATGGGAGGCCTGGCTCTCATCATTTTTCTGGGGTGTAGTAGACAGTGTCCTCCTGAGCTTTAGACAGTGCCTGATGGTCTGGCCGTCCAGAGGTGAACTTGTTCTCAGGAAGGCAGGGGCTGTGTCTAGGCAGCCTAAGTGTTGGAGAGCAGTATTCAGAACAGCTGCTCCTGCTCCCCTAAGCAGGAGTGAGGCATGAGGACAAGTGCATGCTGACCTGTCTGGGTGGCTATGAAGAGGGGTGATTGTGCCCTGCAGTGCATCTCATAGTGTGCACAGCTCAGGATGTATAGTGGGTAACACCTGCAAGTGTCCTAGGCAGGCCCTGTGCACAGGTTCCTCTGGAAGCTTCCTGAGAGTTCACTAAGCAGCAGTCTCAGGCCACCAATTCCCACCAGTGGTCCCCTTCCTTTGTATTGTTGTTTCTGATCTCATTTTGCTCATCCCAGGACGTGCTTAAGCCAAATGCTTTGCTTTTCTGGAGAGATGAAATAGAGGAGAGCCATTCATGAATTTAATACAACCATGCAAGAGGCGTGCAAAAGTAATACCAAACTTCCTTCTTAATACAATATCCCTTCTTAATCGCCCTTTTGACATCGTCTGGGCAAGAGATTATTTGCAGATTATCCTTTAAGCAATGAGCAATTCTAATTAATTCTAGCCAACTGTAGGGACCTCCCTGCTCTAGCCAAGCACAGAATAGAAGGAAGGAGGGTTTCCTAGGCACAGGCACATTCAGCCCTCATGCTACTGAGGAGTGGCCTTCTGTATTTTAAATTTGAGTCACCTGAGACTCATAGAGGCAAAATAACTGGTCCAAAATGCCACTGCTAGTGAGAGATAGAGCTTGGGCTTGAATTGAGGTCTTTATGGGCCAAGCTTCATCCAGGTCATGGCTTTACTCCCAACATTGTGGCATAGCCAGTGGCACCGGGGTGAGATGGTCATCTGCCTCTTTATTGAGGAGAAGATGGTGCTCCTGCCACTCAGCCAGTGCAGACTTTCCTACTTGCCTGTAGTATCAACTATCATCATCAACCTGTCCCTCAACACCTCAGCCCTCACTTGTGTAGAGTGATTCACCACTTACCAAGGACCTCTCTGGGCAAGGAATGCATGGGACAGTGGGTTGTCCCAAAGGGTTATCTTACAGACAATGTGCTCCCAGAAAAATGAAAGCCCTTGGGGGAGAAATTCATTACTTTAAACTTGCTTTCCAGTACACACAGTTCCCCTCCTCTGCATGCCGGCCTGTTTGCCCCCTAGCCCCAAGTCTTTGGTCAGAGCCTGCTTGTTTCCTTGTCCCTGCCCCTGTCCCCGACCATCAGCTGAGTTTCTGGCAGGAGGCAACGGAGGCCAGGACTGGGTGTGGTAGATCCACCCTCAAGGGCTGGGAAGCACAGCCTCCACTGCCTCTGGCACCTGCTCTGCAGCACCTCCTCTGTGGCACGTCTCCAGCCCCTACCAAGGCCTGGCTCACGTGAGCCAAACCAAACAGGCACTTCCTAAATGAAGGAACCTGTGGAACTCCTTTGTCCCTGGCTTAATCTGGACACTAAATGCACATCGATGGAGCAGACAGGATGAATACTGTCCCCTCAGCCAAAGCCACTTCCCAAATCTTCCGCAACTTGTAGTTACACATTAACTAGGGAGCAGGCCAGAAACCAGGCAAAACGGAAGGAAGGCTGAGCTTGTTTTGGGGGCTTGTCCCTTGTGTTAGTCCATTTGCATTGTTATAAAGGAATACCTGAAACTGAGAAATTTATAAAGAAAAGAGGTTTACTTTGGCTTACAGTTCTGCAGGCTATACAAGTAGCATGGTGCCAGGCTGGGTGTGGTGGCTCATGCCTGTAATCCCAGCACTTTGCGAGGCTGAGGCAGGGGGATCAATTGATTCCAAGAGTTCAAAACCAGCCTGGGAAACAGTGAGACCTCATCTCTACTAAATATAAAAAAAATTAGCCAGGCATGGTGGCACACTGGTTCACCCCTCTGGTCCCATCTACCGAGGATGCTGAAGTAGAAGCATTGCTTGAGCACAGGAGGTCAGGGCTGCAGTGAGCCATAATCACACACTGCACTCCAGCCTGAGGGTCAGAGCGAGACCCTGTCTCAAAAAGAAAATTAAAAAGAAGAATAGTGCCGGCATCTGCTTCTAGCGAGGGCCTCAGGAAGCTTCCAATCATGGCAGAAGGTGAAGGGGGAAGCCAGCGTATCACATGGTGAGAAAGGACAAGACAGAGAAGGGAGAGGTCCCAGACTCTTTCAAACAACCAGATCTCATGTGAAACAACTGACCTGTGATCCAATCACCTCCCATCAGGCCCACGTCCAACACTGCGGGCTACATTTCAACATGAGATTTGGAGGGCACAAACATCCAAACTCTTTTTCTCCCTGTCTCTCTTTTTTTTTTCTTGAGATGGAGTCTTGCTCTTGTCACCCAGGCTGGAGTGCAATGGCGCGATCTCAGCTCACTGCAATCTCTGCCTCTCGGGTTCAAGCGATTCTCCCGCCTCAGCCTCCCAAGTAGCTGGGACTACAGGTGCACATCACCACAGCCGGCTAATTTTCCATATTTTTAGTAGAGACAGGGTTTCACCATGTTGGCCAGGCTGGTCTTGAACTCCTGACCTCAGGTGATCCATCTGCCTCGACCTCCCAAAGTGTTGGGATTACGGGCGTAAGCCACTGCGCCCAGCCGACATCCAAACCATATCATCCCTCTTCTACTTCCAGGTGCTTCCCACTCTACCTTCACTTCTGTTCCCTGAACCAGTCCATCCAGGCCCAGATACCTTTAGCTTCCCACTCCTATGACTCATGTTCTCTATCAAATGTTCTCGGCCTATGTCTTCCCTTCTCTTGAGCCATGAGTTGCCACATCCACGAGCATGCCCCTGGGACACGTGCACAAAGAGCCTGTGCATCTGAAGCTTTCACAGTGTTTTGCAGAGTAGGCAGTTGAGCTTTGCCTTTTATTTTACTGGTTGAAGCTCTGGTGGAGTATAGGATCTCTACCTTAGAGCTGAAAGACTTCGAGTTGCAGCTCTTACTAACTGTGCTATAAAAACTAGAAAGCTTACTTCTAAGGTTCCTTCCAGTTCTGAAATTGCTTTCAATGATTCTACAACCTCCACTGAAGAGTGAGGTGACTCAGTATGCCACCTATGCCATGGCTATAACCATGACAGATCCAGCAGGAGGCCAAAGCTCATCCTAGCAGCTTTCCTGCTGACATGAGGGTTTCATTTAGTCTTTAGAAAGAATATTTTGTCTGGAAGGAATCTTATAGCCTTGGCATCCTCACATTTTGACTGCCCAAGAGAGAAATTAGTTTTTCCCTGCAGAAAGGTACAGTTCCTAGGCACAATCTAAGAACACAGAACAAGTTCTGGTCTGGAGAGGGGTGCTTGGAGGCCCAGTATGTAAAAGCTGCCCCCTTGGCTGTAGGGGGCAATGATGGCATAGGTGTCGATAGGGCAGTCAGGCTCCATTGATTGCCCCATCAGGTCCCCAGCATAGAGTCAGGCAGAGTCGATGCCCACACACTCAATGACTGAATATAGAATGAGTGGGCCTGCCCCTGAGGGATAGAAGGAGACAGAGTCCAGGAGGCCATGTGAATCCATGATGTATAATGTAAGTGGGGATGGAGATGGGCGGGGCCTGAGCTTGGTTATTTTCCCTGCCTGTTTTACAGAAGTTGTCTCATTCTAGGTCTACAGCCATTAGGGGACTCAAGGTCTAGGTTTTGGAATAAAGTCAGTTTCTCCTATCTGGGCTGATCCTATCCCTGACAACATTCCTTCTTCTCAATTAAACTTGAAGGAAACCTCAGCTCCTACCTTCACCCTGCAGTTACACAACAAAAACAAACAAACAAAATCAGCATGGTAAGACTCTGGAGCCAGGAGTCCCAGGTTCAAGTCTCAGCTGTGTGTGTCTCTCTAATTATAGGACACTGAGTGACTCCTTTCCCCTCTCTAGGACTCAGTTTCCTCATCTGTTCCTCATCTGTGGGGCCTGGACGCTCTCCCAGGTCCCTTCGAGCTGCCATTCTGAGGCTTCTCATGCTTCTCTCTTGGTAGATTCCACCAATGTGGCTTTCACCATCTCTATGCTTTTGGGCAACCTCAACAGCTGCTGCAACCCCTGGATCTACATGGGCTTCAACAGCCACCTGTTACCGCGGCCCCTGCGTCACCTTGCCTGCTGTGGGGGTCCCCAGCCCAGGATGCGCCGGCGGCTCTCCGACGGCAGCCTCTCGAGCCGCCACACCACGCTGCTGACCCGCTCCAGCTGCCCGGCCACCCTCAGCCTCAGCCTCAGCCTAACCCTCAGTGGGAGGCCCAGGCCTGAAGAGTCACCAAGGGACTTGGAGCTGGCAGATGGGGAAGGCACCGCTGAGACCATCATCTTTTAGGAAAGACTCGCTGGGGTCTGGTACTGCCCCCAGGACTAGTGGAGGTTCTCTGCCCACCTCGGGCACTGGAAATGAGAGCTGGGAGGGTAAGGGTTGGAGTTAGAGGAGCCCTGTCTAAAGCGGAGCGAAAAGGCCAGAATGGGTCCCCTACCCTGGTGTCACAGCTGCCCCTAGTGTGAGGGCTGCCTCATAAGCTCCCAATCTCAGACACTGGCAGTCAGGGAGAATCAAACTGCCTGTCTCCCTGGTCCTGCCATATTCATAGGGTGTCCATGCACACATGGTGTCCCAGATCTAGGCAGGCCTAGGATGGTGCTGTCTAGGGGTCCACGGGTGGCAGGAATTCAGAGGCTGGCCTTGTGCCCTGGCTACCTGTCTCCATTCTAACCTGACTGGCACATCTCAGCCTAACCAGGAGAGGGGAGAAGTGAAAAACCGTGAGGAGGACTCTATTTGGATCCTGGATTTGTTGTTGTTGTTGTTGTTGTTAGAGAGAAAATTGCTTCATGAAGAAAAGTGAATGGATATGTAGGGATTACCCTGCTGTGCCCAGCTGTCTGTTGAAGGGAGATGGTCTCATGGAGATGCAGGATTCAGTATAGTACCTGGTACCTAGCAGGAACTCTGCAAATGCCAGTCCCTCTTCTCCTCGTGCCACCCCCCATGACAGCGTGGATGACGGGAAAGTGTTGTATATTCTCTGTGGTCTGGTCCACTGTCAGTGTGGGTGGGAAGAAAGAGGGAGGGAAGGAGAAGATGAAAATGGTCATCATAAAATTAACAGCAAGAATAAGCCTCAAGGGCAGCAGGGACTTGTGGCCCTCCCTCCTTTCCCCAACCCACCCCCCAGGGAATCCAGCCTGCTCTTTCCCCGGGGGCTACACAGAGGAGACCTCCTTTGAGAAAAGGTGACATCATCATGGCTCTGGACACCCTCCAGGCTCTTCAGAGCTTCCACCATGAACCATATGGATGCTGTGATCCAGTTAGGAGCCCGGGTTTGAATCTCAGCTCTGCCTTCAGTATCTGTGTGACCTTGGGTGAGTCACTCTCCCTTTCCAGGACCCAGTCTCCTCACCTGTGTAATAGGTGAGATGATCTCTAAACTCCAACCTTCCATGACTCTGCAATACTGGAAATGGTGTTACAGAGAAACACAAAGGATATTATAACCAACAGGGTCTAGAAGAGTTGTTGCATTTTTATGACAATGGCATTGATATACTCTTTGACTCAATTCTGGTGACGGTGGGTCCCACCATGGCCATACTGTCCACTTTTGTCCTCATCTGGGATGCTGAATCCTCCTCCAAGGCTGGGAGAGGCTGCAGGCCAAGGTAGACCGAGGTAGAGGAAGAGCATGGCACATGCTCATTATCTCCAGGGGACTTTTATCATGGCATAGCTTCCCCAACCCAATTCTGATTCCAATTGAAGAGAGAGCCTTGCTGGTGGAAAAGACATCAGCTGAAACATCAGCAAAGCTGCATCCTGGTTCTGCCACCACCAATGACACACATCAATAAAATGCTGGCCAGTCCTTGCTAGCTTGGTTCTGAGAATCAAATAGGACTGTGGATATAAAAGTCATTTGTAAAGTCATGAGCTCTATACTAACGTAAGGAATTACTAATCTAATTAAGAGCTCCTGAGGGAAGCTCTAGGGAACACTTTCAGTCTCTACCCCTGACTCCCAGGGAAGCTTTGAGGAATGACTGTGGCTTTGCGGATATACTTCTTTAAGAGGCCACTCAGCTCTAAGAAGCCTCCTGAGGCTTTCTAAAAAGAAAAGAGCCTTGCTGAATGTTGTGAGTGAGCAAAGCGTCCCAGTCCTTCAGTGCTAGAGAACTGGAGAGTGAGACCCTAATGGGACCAAGGCTCAGGCAGATGGGAGGACCCACAGTCTCCCTCTCACTGAGTTCTGTTGCCCATGTCAGCCCCTGACATCTAATACTTCTTCCCTGTCTATCTGCCCTGGTGAAGTGGGCTTAGAAGCCTCCCATGCCAGCCAGAGCTGTTGAATCTGCTCCTTCCCCTGCTTACAAAAGCGGCCTCCCCACCCCCTTGCCCCATCTTTAGACCACAGTTTCTGACCCTAATGCCTAGAGTTGGTAAATCTTTGTTCTTCATGATGACTGGGAGGTAGAAGGAACACCAGCTGTGTGCCCCAAAGACCTGGGTTTGCATCTTGATCTCACCCCTTTTCTACCTGTATCAACTTAAGCAAGTTATCCAATCTCCCCCAGCAATGCTTTCTTCATTTATTAAATAGAAATAGCAATGCCCACTTTGTTGGGAGGGATTTGTAAGATTGTAGACTAGAGATAGAGCACTCAACAGATGTTAGAGAGGGGAACAATGGCCTGGCTCCAGATTGCATCTGGTAGATGACCTCCAGGGTCCTGACCCAAAAGAGTCTACAGTTCAGAGAGGAAAAGAGGAGACAGACCTGGGATCAAGGCTGACTAAAGCACTTTCTTGTCTACCCTTTGCCTTCTATAGATCCCCTCTTACTACTATGATATTTTCTGTTTTGCATTGCACAAGAATAATTTACTTGGGGTGGTGGCTTTGGAGCCCTCATTGTTCCTCCCATGGAAAGGCTACACTTGATCTTTTCCAGAAAGCTGGTTCTGTCCTGTGATATGGACAGTGGGGAGCGACTGCACACTGGCTGAGGGCCTCGGGAACCCATTCCAGGAAGCTCCTGAAGGAAATGGTGGATCTCATCGGATCTATGAGTGAAAGTTCTGCAGGACCTGTAGGAGGCTCGCCTGGACAGTCTGGGCCAGTGGAAGGGCCTTGGATAGGGTTCAAGGAGGAGGGGCCCTGTGGAAGCAAGAAGGAGGCTCTGTGCTCTCTGGGGTGAATCCCATTTCTGACGGCTAACCCCAGGAGAAACTGAACAATGCCGTCTCTGGCTGGGCACTTGTGTAAATTGTTTATGCCATCCTGTGACTGTGAATGACAGTACTTTAGTCCCTTAAAACCTATGTACAAGCAGGACATGAGGGGCAGACGGGACAGAGAGGAGGACAGGAGGGGTTCATCGGTTGACTACGGGGATTTCTCAGAATCGTTATGTTGTTTGGCACAGGCCAGTACTTTCCCAGATAATGTGTCTGTGTTTTGTATGTAAATAGATCACTTATCTACTACAGGGCTATAGATTCAGCCCAGGCTGTAGCAGTTCATTCCTGGGTCAGAAACCCAGGTTGAAATTCACCAATAAAAAGATTTAATATCCAGGAAATTCCTGCGCATCTTTAGTTTTCTAGGGACAATGATAATTGGATGTGCAAGATAAAATTAAAGTGTGTTTGTCTTGAGTGAAGGGGTGAGGTTGCTGGGGAAAGGGGCCACCCTGCATCCAGTTTAAGTGGGAAAAGCAGTGTCTTCGAGTTTGCCATAGGACCACAAGGTGGCAGTGTGGAGCCAAAAGTGGGCCTGGCCTCCGCTGGGCTTGACTTGGCAGCTCCTGCCTAAGAATCAGGGTAAGGCCCTTTCTCTAGCCAAATATTGCTGAGATCCAGTGCACATTCTTTAACTCTCCTGGAGGATATGAAGCAGTAATGACTAACAGGGAAGGCTAGGAAAGTCACCCAGCCTCTTAGCTTGTGAGTCCTCAAGTTCCAAAGAGTCTTGGTCCCTCACTTGACCCGGTTCTCCTGAGATACATGGACACACACTGGGTTCTCTCTAAACCCACGGAGATTTGGCAAGGCAAAGAACAAGAGGTTTCTACTGCAAGGTGAGGAAATGAGTATAGGAATTCCTGCCCAAAAGGCAGCAAGACACATGAGTCAGTGTTTGAGGGCCCTAGTAGGACCTCAAAAAGCCACATGAGCTATAGTTACTTTACGGGTTCTGGTTTAGAATCTGGGGGCATGGGTTAGGAGGCTTCTCTGAGAGTGCCTCGGAGCCCAGCAATCTGTCCCAATTCCAGAAGCAAAGAAACCCACTGATGTTGAGCGTAAAATACCTCCTCACCCTAGCACGTCTTGGTGGCTAATAGGATGCTCGTGGAATTTTGCTGCAGTTCCCATGGTGAGCATTTGGATGCTTGCTCCTTTAGAATAAGAATTCATTGAAAACAGGTCACATTTATTATGGTCTACTGTGGTCTATATTCCTAGGTCATTGTTGGCATGTAATCCACCATCTACTGGTTGCCAATAGCAAATCAGTTTTTCTGTGTCTTATTATCAGATAATTTTGGAAAAATCTTTGTCCAGTCCATGTCCATGGAGAAACCCAGTGTGAAACAGTATGATTGTTTCTGGGAGGTACCAATGACATATAACGTGGGAGAATGTGACTTCACTGAACTGGAAGCTATGCTCCTCAAAGGGTGGTTACTCATACAGGTGACTATTTGTACCGATTTAGACAGCTCACCCTTGAAGCTCATGGAAATATGACAAACAAAAGGCCATTTTGTTTCTACGTGGCTTGCAATGACTTTGAGGATTAGTTCAATTTGTTAGCTGGCCCCAATTATTAGCTTATTGGCTCAAACTCCTCAGGAGGTGACATCAGCCTTCCTCTGTACTTATGAGGGCATCTGAGCAGTCATGTGCACTATTGAAGTTCTAACCTCTGTAAGTCACTTGGTAGGGTCACACGTTTAAATCTACTGTTAAATCTAACTGTTAAATCTAACAGCACTCTCCAAGAATGCCTTCACTTAATAAGCAATCAGGGTGGGTTCTAATGTTAACCTCCATGATATATTCACTACTGAATGTCATATTTCTGAAGCAGAGTTTATTACAGAGCTTAATCAGATGGTCTACAATCATTCTAGCCTCTGGTCTCTGGTCTCCCTGACGTCAACTCCCTGCGCCAGAGTATCACAGCAGCCTCTGAGCCCAGACACAGACAGTTCTCCAGACAGTGCCACTCTGGGCCGCCCCTCAGGCATTTATTGAGAGCCTGCAGCAGGTCAGGTCTGTTCCTTTTCCTCCTGCCTTTTCTCCCATCAGTTGATTTTCCACCCTTTTTTTCTTTTTTGGCGGGGGGGACGGAGTCTCGCTCTGTCCCCAGGCTGGAGTGCAGCGGCACGATCTCGGCTCATTACGAGCTCCGCCTCCCGGGTCCACACCATTCTCCTGCCTCAGCCTCCCGAGTAGCTGGGACTACAGGCGCCGGGCACCACGCCCGGCTAATTTTTTGTATTTTTAGTAGAGACGGGGTTTCACCATGTTAGCCTGGATGGTCTTGATCTCCTGACCTTGTGATCCGCCCACCTTGGCCTCCCAAAGTGCTGGGATTACAGGCGTGAGCCACCGCGCCCGGCCTCCGCCCTTTTTTTCTAAACTGAGGTCAGAAATCACCTCTTTCTGGGATGTTTTTTCTGATTAAGGCTGGCTGATTCTAACATCCTATTCCCCGGATCTGTGTAAATACTGATAGGCTCTGGTTTCATTGCTCTGTGTTCATTGTTTTTTACATGTTGTTTTGTACATGCTCTCTGGCTCTTTCCTGTCCCCACAATTAGGTCATAGATGCCTTGACCCCACCCAATCTTCTTTTTGTTGATCTCTCCTCTCAACACCCAAGGCCTGTCCCAGAATTCTGCGGAAAGCAGGCAGTCTGTTTACTCTCATCCCCTCTCCTGGTGGGAGCTGTCTCAGCATTGTCCCTGCGGTGTCTCTTGGGTGCAATGTAACTTGTCTGAATCTCTTCAGTACACTCTTGAATTTTTTTTTCTTTTCTTTTTTTTTGAGACGGAGTCTTGCTCTGTCACCTAGGCTGGAGTGCAATGGCACGTCTTGGCTCACTGCAACCTCTGCCTCCCGGTTTAAGCCATTCTCCTGCCTCAGTCTCCTGAGTAGCTGGGATTACAGGCGTGCACCACCACAACAGGCTAATTTTTATATTTTTAGTAGAGGCGGGGTTTCACCATGTTGACCAGGCTGGTCTCGAACTCCCGACCTGAAATGATCCAACCGCCTTGGCCTCCCAAAGTACTGGAATTATAGGCGTGAGCCACCGCGCCTGGCATTTTTTCCCCCTTTTTTTAAGAGATCAGGCCGGGTGCAGTGGTTCATGCCTGTAATCCCAGTGCTTCGGGATGCTGAGGTAGGAGGATCTGTTGAGGTCAGGAGTTCAAGAGCAGCCTGGGCAACATAGTGAAACCCTCTCTACAAAACAATTTTTAAAATTAACTAGGCATCATGGCATGCACCTATAGTCCCAGCTACTTGAGAGGCTTTGGCAGGAGGATCACTTGAACCCAGGAATTTGAAGGTTACACTGAGTCATGATCATACTCCTGCACTCCAGTTTGAGTGACAGAGACCCTGTCTCTAAAAGTAAATAATTAGATAAATAATAAATAGAAGAAATCAATAAGAAGTAGAGTTTCACTTCTTGATGGGACAATGTTGCTGTTATTATTTTTGGTATTTATTCCTCATTCTGCCTGTCTAATCAGTAGACTCTGTTGTACCCCATTAAAAAAAGCTTTGTAAGGAGAGGAACGACAGTGGTAGCTAAAAGGTGAAGGGACAAACAAGCCAGCAACATTTTCCAACCCCAGAAACCCAAACCAGAATCATCCCCTTAGATCATCTTGGGGAAGAAGAACTCAGGAGGAGGAAAGCCTGCCTGATGCTCTCAGCACCAGGGCTGGGAGGGTCATCCACAGCCAGCAAATGGAGCACAGTTAATAAATCTCAGGTGTCTAAAACCTGAATACCACTGATCTTGGGTTTGAATTTGGCTAGGAGTAAACCTAGGGTTTCAATTTTGGGGGCATGTTTGTTTAGCTATTATGAGCAAAATTTCTTTTTACTTCATGTCAAATTAGCTGTTGGAGAAAAATATTTCTCTAGTCACTGGTTACTCATGTTATCAATTTTAAAGCATTTTAATTCTCTGGTTTTCTAGGGCTAGGATATCTGAAAAGGATGACAAATTTTTCCTCATTTCTATTTTTTTTTTTTTTTTTTTTTTGAGACAGAGTCTTGCTCTGTCACCCGGGCTGGAGTGCAGTGCCATGATCTTGGCTCACTCAGCTTCCAACTCCCGGGTTCAAGTGATTCTCCTGCCTCAGCCTCCCAAGTAGCTGGGATTACAGGTGCCAACCAGCACACCCAGCAAATTTTTGTATTTTTAGTAGAGATGGGGTTTCACCGCGTTGGCCAGTTTGGTCTTGAACTCCTAACCTCAAGTGATCCACCTGCTTCAGCCTCCCAAAGTGCTGGGACTACAGGCGTGCACCACCGTGCCTGGCTCCAATTTTTCATAGTTCTTGCTTTTGTTAACTGTTTTATCAACTGATTAGAACTTCTAGAACAATGTTAGATAACAAAGGAAATGGCAGGCTTGTGGACATTCTTACTTTGTTTCTGACTTAATAGGACTGTGTCTAGGAGCTTACAGTTAAATATCATGTAATCTCCTGATTTGAGATAAATCATTCTTAATTGAGTTAGGAAGTGTCCCTGTATTCCTAATTGTTTTTTTAAAAACACCAGGAATGAATCTTGAATTTTATTAGATTGAGCTTTGGGAGATTTTTCTTGGAATAAGAGATTATGATGCTGGTTGATATTTACCAAAATTCCATTTGTCATCTTTGGCTTATAAGAAACAGCAGATTCAAAGGTTGATTGATGGTGGGCTTTGTAAATGCACTATTTAAAGTTCTGAGGACAGAGGAGGATTACTCAGCAAAACACATCACTGAAAACAAGGAAAACTGCAGGGTTAGGCAACAGGAAAAGAGGAACTGGTGGTGGTTGCTATTTTATTTAAAACTTTTAAAGAAGTTGTTTATTGCCAATAATTAAAGAGCTCAAAGGGAAGTCATTTAACCATGAGATTGCCAAATAGAACTCTACAACAGCTGATTCAACCTTTTTAAAATTTTCCCTGGGGAGAGACTTCACTACTATCTCTGCTGATGGACTCCATAGTTCTCATACTTTACCTGAAAGTTCTTCCTAACATCTGATCTCAACCTTTCTTGCCGGGGCATTGGCCTGTTTTCCCAGCCAAGCCTTGTTTTTGTTTTTGAGGAACGAACAGCTTTTTTGGGTACAGACCAGGAGTCCATGGGTCTTGAGGACCTCTGTGTATTTATCAGTTTTCTTCTCCACATTCTTTTTGGCCTGTCTCCATAGACTTGTGAGCCCCATGCCTTGTTTAAGGGGGAAAAATGGCATTTCCCTACAAATTAAATGTAAGAATCCATAGAGAACTGGACCCCATTAAAAATATTTGGAATTCACATGGCCACTTGATCATATTCCGCTGGCTCAGACAGAGCAGGGTTGACAAAATACCAGAAACTGGGCTTGTGTCTTTCTGGATTGACATTGACATAATCTGTGATTTCCTTTATGTTCTCATAGTCCAGCGGGGAGTCATTTTTTAGTTCTCCAGGGTCAGAAAAGACGACTTGTGTGTAATCCACATCCTCTGTGGCCTTAGGAGAAAAGCAGAGACATGTGGGTCAAGATCCCTACCACGTTTGGGGGAAATAAGACCCCAGGACTGAACTCTTACTCAACAAGATTCGCCCATGGCTTGGTGGGGAAGATCTGGGTCCAAATAGCTGTGTCTGGGAGCAGTCCAGGGCAATGAGGAAGATTACCAGTGACTTTGTTCCACCTGTCTGCAGGGAATGGGATTACAGACGAGCAGGTGGAGGCAACAGGAAGATGCTGAGACTCAATTCAAGGGAGATCAGGACTCAGAGCAGACTTGAGCCCAACAACTGGGGTGTGGGGAGAAGAGGGTTTCCCATTAGCACTTTCATTTTTACAGTCTGTTCAGACCCACTTTGTTTGGGTGATCCATGCAGATATGGGTTATGGGTGGAAGCCTGACCCCCCCTCACCTGAGGATGCTGTGATGACTCAAGAAACCCTCTTTTCTTGCTCCCACTACATAGCTGGGGTAACTTGAGTTTTCAGCGTTTTACAGCAGGGATCCCCAGACTGCATATGTTCGTCTGAGATCACTAGGCACATCCATTACCTGGCAGGCAGGAGGCGAACTGCAGGAGCTATCCAAGCTATCTGAGGGTGTGTCGCTGTCATCTGGGGAGAAATAGAAACGGTTCCTCTTCCAAAGCAAGCCAGAGGGTGTTAAGAGAGGATAGAGACAATGGAAGGGAGAATTGTCTTATTATCAGATAAAGACAGAGGCAGAGCCAGCAACAAAAAGGGGGGGTAGGGAAGAGAGATACAGAGACCCCAAAAGAGGAAGAAGGAGAAACAGAATAGGGGAAGAGTAGGGGGAGAGAAAGTCTCCAAAAATAGGCAGGGACATGTCCAAGAGGCCAAGCACTGCTGCTTCATTCAACTCCATCTAAAACTAATGTTAAAAAATACACTAGGTTGACTGTGCTTGGAAAGGGCTGTCTTCCAGAAAGAAAAGTCAGGAGGAACATGCTGGGACAATGTGACCCAATGCAAACAGCTCTGGCCTCAGAAGTTACACCTTCTAGTCCAAAGCTGTCACTAAATCTAGGCAGATCACATCTCTTTTTGTGCCCTGGTTTTCGTCACCCCCAAGACAAGAGGGTTGAACAAGAGTCTCTGAGGTCCCTGACAGCTAAACAATCTCTGATTCTAGCCAGGCTCTGGTGAAGCTTTGGGGCCAGGGGTTAGGGTAAGGCCAGTGCCTCTCCAGTTCTGTTGAAACATGCATATGAGCAGCACCCTCAGGTCCCCACAGGCAGGCACTGAGGCCATGTCTCAACTGAAAAGATAAAATCAGGACAGAGCAAATTCAAACCAATCAAGAGACAAACCAGTGGAAGAAGTGCAATCTCTGGTGAGTGAGCCCCTATCAGGGAGTTGCCTTGTTGCCAAAGCAGCCACTTCCACTGTGAATAGTGACCTATTGGCTCACTTGCAGGAGGGTGATATAGATTTGAACCAGCAGCAAGATTCACATTTATACACTCAGATACCCATGCAGATCTAAGACCATGAAAAAGGGTCCCTCTAGGGACTATGGAGGAGCCAGCTACAGAGCCAGCCAATAACACTGACATAGCAGCAGCCACGGTGGAGGCAGGCAGAGGCAGGTGAAATTTTAACTCCACCATTAGCTGATCAATCCGAAGAAAAGATGCCATGGCTTTACAAAGAGAAGAGCAGGGACATTTCCCAAGCCGCCTGCAATCATTTGCACACGACTAAACCCGGGAAAGAACTTAGACCCACACAAACTCAGAATGATCTTCCCCACGAAATAGAATAAAACACCTTTCTGAAAAAAAGTAGGCTGGCAAGGCTGTCCTGATGTGGCTGTGAGGAATCCTCAGGCTAGAGGTTTGGGCCCATGGGGTTGCTGCAGGGAGGTCCTGGGTGTCCAGAGAGAGCAAAGTTAGTCCCTAGACAAGTTCTCCCTCCAACCCCTTACTCACGCCTGTAAAGGGAATCAGACATTGGGATGTCTCTCTCTGTCTGAGTCTCCTTCATCTCTTTGACAGCAGGTGGATGATGGTGGCCAGGGCTGGGCCTGGGAACCTGGAGACTGGCCGCTTTCAGTATCTGTTCACTCTTGTGGGCTGGAAGGGAGAGGGCAGGGATCAAAAGTGGAAACTGGCCAGGCGCAGTAGCTCATGCCTGTAATCCCAGCAATTTGGGAGGCTGAGGTAAATGGATCACTTGAGGTCACAAGTTCGAGACCAGCCTGGTCAACATGGTGAAACCCCATCTCTACTAAAAATACAAAAATTAGTTGGGCATGATGATGCGTGCCGGTAATGTCAGATACTAGGGAGGCTGAGGCAAGAGAACTGCTTGAACCTGGGAGGCAGAGGTTGCAGCGAGCCGAGACTGTGCCACTGCACTCAAGCCTGGGGGACAGAGTGAGACTCCATCTCAAAAAAAAAAAAAAGTGGAAGCTGCCTGGGTTAGGCACATCGGCTCTTGAATCAGCGCCTGTTGAACACTGCCCTCAGTAAAGCAAACCTTTCAGAAAGATCCCTTCAAACCTCAGCACTGCTGTGCTCAAAACCCTGCCATGGTTCCACGCCTCACTTGGAAAAAGCCAAGTCCCAGCCTCCGAGGCCTCACTCCTCCTTCCTCTCTGGCTTTCTCCTGCTTCTCTCTGCCTGCTCCAGCTGCCCAGCCTCTTTGCTCTTGCTAGCATGTGCCTAACACGTTCCTCCTTCAGGCCTTTGCAGGTAGAGTTCACGCCTCACTCCCTGCAAGTTTATACTCAAAGGTTAGCCTTTTGGGGATGCCAGCCATCCACCAAGCTGTATCAACTCCCTTGTTCCATTTTTCCTCCCTAGCACTTACCATAATCTAGCATATACATGTTTTACTTGTTTATCTTGTTTGTTGTCACATGGAATGAAAGATTCCGGGGGTAGGAATTTTTGTTTTGTTCCCTGTTGTGTAGCCTAGGCCCAGAGAGTGTCTTAGATGCTCAAGAAATATCTGCTGAATGAATGAATGAACAAATGAATGAATGAAGGTAGACTTAACTAGAAAGACCCTCAAAACATCATCTTGCCCCGTCCTTTCTCTTAGCACAACCAAAGCAGCATTGTTTTATTTTCCCTAATTGAAATGCCTTTCCAGGACCGAGCTTCACTACCTTCTATTGTTTATCAGTTCAAGAATTTAAACTAATCTCTAAGTCCAACCATATTTCCTTCTGTTGTAATTCAAGGACATTTCTTCATATTCAGTCCTTTAACAGGGATGAAGAAAATTAATTAGACCAGGTTACACGAGCACTTCCTCGTAGGCATTGCAAAAGCTGTGTCTAGGCAGAAGGTCTGGGTAGTAGACGGATGTGGATGGCCACTTCCAGCCAGAAATAGTTGGTTAAAAGGTGAGGTCAGAGTGGGGATTACCCAGATACAGTTATTGGGGGGAGGGGGAGCGGTGGGAAGGAATTTGGCCGGTGGGTCCTCTGGTAGGTTTTTGAGTGACGTTTGGGAACTCCAAAGGGGTCTTGTCCTGCTGGAGGCTCGAGAATGGTCTCTGAGAGTGACTAGGAGGGAAGAGGATGCTGAGCCAGTTACCCATGTGCCTGCTGAGCAGGTAGTTGATGGCGGTGAGGAAGCAGGCCTGCAGGAAGAGGGACACCACCGCGATCACTAAGCCATGCCAGACCTCCATGACTCTGTTGGGAAAGAAAAAGGGGCAAAGTCAGAGATTGCAAGGATGTGAATACAATTGCAAACCTATCCCTGTCCTAGCTGGAGGCAGACATCTGGCATTGCTGCGTGTCCCAGGGTAGGTCCCTTTGCCTCTCTGGACAATAAGGCTGGGGCAGCCAGGAAGGGTGCTATGTGTGCTTGGAAGACAGCTACACCAGTTAGCTTGGTGGGAACCTTGCTCCTGCTCTTGTTGGGCCCACTCACTCTGTCAGCATGATGAGCTCCTTGCTGATAAGTTGGGGCTCAGGCACTTTCAGGAACCACCCTGGCACCTCGTCTCTCAGTAGTGCCACCGGCAGGGTGCTGGAGATCTGCAAGAGGTAAGGAGCTGGTCAGGACTCCAGGGCTCTTTATACAAATTTCCCTTGGGCAAACTCAGCTACTTGAGGATCAATTGTGACACATGCCCAGTTTATTCATCATACTTGCTTCAGTCCCCACTTTCCTACATGATACATTCTAGACACTTCTCCTAAAGAACCTTGATGAGTAAAGTGCACTTAACATTTTCACTCCCAGAGATTTCTGTTTAGTTTCGTTTATAAAAGTGGATTCAGAATCCAGATATGAGTTCCTTATTTGTTATAGATTCAGCATGTGAAAGGGGTAGGTGGGGAGTGAAAAGCAGCAATGTTCTAGATTAGAGAATTCCCCTTCCTGTTTGTGCTGGAGCCCTCTCTCCATTCGTCCATGCATCCAGTGCCAAGAAGCGCCACAGGTCACCTTGTTAGCAGCAGGGCTTATGGATTCTTTCTGTAGGACAGCTGTGACTTAGTTGCTGGTAAGGAGGGCTGCAGGGAGGCAGGAGGGAGGGACCCTGGGGACTGACCCAGACAGCGAGCGAGAAAAGACTCCAGGAAATTACCTGTCTCTCACCTCCTCAGAGTCCTCAGACAAATGGATAGAAAAATCCGATATTGCCCAATGATCAGCAAACTCCACAATGAAAGCTCAGTCAAAAGTGTCTTGGGCCAGGTAGGATGGCTTGCCCCTGTAATCCCAGCACTTTTGGAGGCTGAGGTGGGCAGATCACTTGAGCCTAGGAGTTCATGACCAGCCTGGGCAATATGGCGAAACCTCGTCTTTACTAAAAATATAAAAATTATCCCGGCATGGTGGCATGTGCCTGTGGTCCCAGCTACTTAGGAGGCTGAGGTGGGAGGATCGCTTGATCCCAGGAGGTCGAGACTTCAGTGAAGTGAGATGGTGCTACTGCATTCCAGCCTGGGTTACAGAGCAAGACCCTGTCTCAAAAAAAAAAACCAAAAAAAAAAAAAACAGGGGACTTGTGCACAAAATAAAAAATAAAAAGTGTAGAGCCAACACACTGGAAAGAAAACACAAGCATGATTGCAATAAAGCAAGACAGGGATTTCTTGAAGGATTTGGTGACTTGATTGAAAAAGGGGCAGAGCTGTCTTGAAAATGTCCTGCTCTTGTCTAATTTTGGATAAGCCCCCCTAAGATAAATTTCAGTACAGATGCTGATTTCTCAAGCCTCATCTGGGGTTCCTCAAGACCCCTGCCAGGGCAGCTGCACAAGGAAGACTGGACTTTACCAGAAGAGCTTTATTGTATCGTGAAAGAAATGAAAATTGTGGAAGGGGGCTAGAAGCTAGACCAGTGTGTCTGAGAAAACAACAATGTTCCATTTTTAAAGGAATTCTGGTGCTTTAGTATCGATTGTCTAATATTGAATATCTCATTTGTCCTTAATCACAGACATGATTCTCCCCTTGAGGGGGTTGGCCAGTAGGTTGCCTGGGCTGTCTTCCAATACTACACTCAAAGCTTTTATTTTTTAAGGCTCCTCTTCTACTTTATTTATTTAAAATTACACAACTAGTAGACATTTGTAGTCAAAGAATTAAAAATATGAATGAGCAACACGTTTTAGAAAATCGCCCCAAATTGAGCCGGACACAGTGGCTCATACCTATAACCCCAGCGCTTTGGGAGGCCGATGCAGGTGGATTGTTTGAGTCTAAGAGGTCAAGACCAGCCCGGGTAACATAGCAAGACCCCATCTCTAAAAACATACAAAAAAATTAGCTAGGTGTGCCTGGCACGTGCCTATAGTCTCAGCTACTCAGGAGGCTGAGGTGGGAGGATCACCCGAGTCCAGGTTGAGGCTGCAGTGAGCCATGATCATGCCACTGCACTCCAGTCTGGGTGACAGAGTGAGATCCTGTATCAAAAAAAAAAAATTACCCCAAATCTTTTTTTTTGAGATGGAGTTTTGCCTTGTTGCCCAGGCTGGAGTACAATGACACGATCTCGGCTCACTGCGACCTCCACCTCCCAGGTTCAAGCGATTCTCCTGCCTGAGCCTCCCAAGTAGCTGGGATTTCAGGTATGCACCACCATGCCCTGCTAATTTTGTATTTTCAGTAGAGACGGGGTTTCTCCATGTTGGTCAGGCTGGTCTCGAACTCCCAACCTCAGGTGATCCGCCTGCCTTGGCCTCCCAAAGTGCTGGGATTACAGGCGTGAGCCACCGCGCCCAGCCAAAATTACCCCAAATCTTATTCCATATCCTTCCAGAAAATTTTCTAAATATTTTCATGGATATAAGTGCATGTATATATGCAAATAATGTGTGTACACAGAGACAATGTCTTTAAAACATGGAATCATACAGATTGTTAGCTATTTTTTTACTCTTAATATATCGTAAACATGTTTTTTTGGTCAGGAAAAACCTCCCCTAAAAGGCTCCAACCAGGCGATCCACAGGCCACATTTGACACCTAATTTTTGTCTGATGAAGTGCTTTAGTGATTTGAATTTGTATGCCCCTAAACTGGGACATGATTTGTTCACTTCCTGACTAATCCCTAAAGGCATTTGAGTTTGCCACCTTTGAGTTTTACGGTATCATTTCGAATTCCTACCATTGCCCTTGATCAGTGTTTCTCGGTAGTATCTGACATTTGGAGCCAGACAAGTCCTTATTGTCTAAAACTGTCTTGCAGACGGCAGGTTGTGGAGCCTCCTGAAAGCCCCCCAGTGTAACAGGCCAGTGTAATGGCCAAAGGGACCCCAAATGACCCCACACATTTCCAAAGCCCCCTGAGGTAGGAGGGTTTGCTCTCAGTTGAGAATCACTGAATTTGATATATGTTCCATTATTTTAAGATTAATGCCTTATTTTGGCCCTTTATACAAAACTAGATTGCCTACACCATCTTCCACATTTTAATATATTCTGAGCATATACTCAGAGCGTACACTTTGGGATAGCGAGGTGGAAGGATCACCGAGGCCGGGAGTTTGAGAAGAGCCCGGTGACAGAGTAAGACCCTGTCTCCCTTACTAGCCAAATGACACACAGCAGCTCATCCAAATGAAAACAGTAAATAATACGGACGTCCAACATTCTTAAATACTAATTTCAGTTCAGTTCCCTTCTAGATGTTAATTATTGAATTCAGTGTCTCAGTTTAATAATTTCAGTATCTATAAAGTGAGAAGAATAATAGTTTCCTACTTCACAGAGTTCTTGCATGAGCTCAGTGATTTATGCTGTTTGTAAAGACCTTTATACAATTCCAGGCATATACGAGGCACTCAGTAATTATTAGGTATTATTCAACCCTAAAATCCTCCACCACGATGGTGACTAGAACTATTAAAAATTGGATTGGTCTATTTTAGAAAACTTAGGCATTTGTTTTGAGTACAGTTTGGAGATAAGATCCAAGGTATGAAAATTATGACAGATGTCATTATTTAAGTGGCTAATGGCCCCTAACCACAATGAGCAGGTTGTTCCTTGGGGTCTAATTGCAGACTGCTGATCAGACAATCAGCAGAGACATCTGCTCATTTGCGCGTGCACGTGACACACACACACACACACACACACACACACCAAATAACCAGGAAATGGGCAATTTAAGGTAATTATGTTGTGAAAAAGCGCATGGACTGTGTGAGGGTTTGGTGTGCCTCGTTCCATCCTCGAGGTAGGGACGGTTCTGTCCTCTTCCACTGTGCTGAATTTTGACATCCAGCCCCCACACTAATGTAGTGCCCTGCCAGGCACCTCAAAACCAAACTTTAGGCTGGGCACGGTGGCTCATGCTTGTAATCTCAGCACTTTGGGAGAGCGAGGTGGAAGAATCACTTGAGACCAGGAGTTTGAGAAGAGCCTGGGTGACAGAGTAAAACCCTGTCCCTCCTCCCCCGACCAAAAAAAACCCTACTTCGTCCCAGTGCTAAGAGCATTTATTTTGTTTGCTTCAGACTTGAGTTAAGGCTGGATTCCATTTTATTAAGTTTCCCTCCTCCACTGATACAGGAGCTTTCTCATGGCCTTTCCAATAGGTACAGCGTAATATCAGGGGGAGAATAAAAAGATGCCCACTTTCCTGCCATACACCATGCTTTCTTTGGATAGGTTTATTCTAGAAAGAACGGTTTAAAACAAGATCACAATAGAAGATGATTTCTATGAAAAATCATATGGATTAGGCTAGGCGCAGTAGCCCACACCTGTAATCCCAGCACTTTGGGAGGCCGAGGTGGGTGGATCATGAGGTCGGGAGTTCAAGACCAGCCTGGCCAAGATGGTGAAACCCCGTCTCTACTAAAAATACAAAAATTAGCCGGGCATGGTGGCAGGCACCTGTAATCCTAGCTACTCGAGAGGTTGAGGCAGAGAATTGCTTGAACCCAGGAAGCGGAGGTTGCAGTGAGCTGAGATCACGCCACTGTACTCCAGCCTGTGTGACAGAGCAAGACTCTGTCTGAAAAGGAAAAAAAAAAAAAGAAAAATCATATGGATCAAAGTAATTATAATCAACATTGTCAACTGACTTTATTAATCTTTTCAAATGAAGTAGCTGTAAACTTTCTTTGCTGTCTCCATTAATTTGTTGTTTTTAACATTAGCTAAGGTATAATGGAAAGAGAACAAAAAGAAGGGAGAACAAAAGAAGGGGAAAGAAGGGAGCTAGGGCCTGCCTTCTCCTGGCTCTGTCACTTGCTAACGGTGTGACTTTGGACAGGGAGATGTCCCCTCTAGGCCCTGGTGAATTAGGGAGCTTGGCAAAGTACTCCTAAGGCTCTTTTCAGCCCTGAGCATCCTGCTCTTTAAAGGCTGGGGTGAAGTAAGGCGAAAAGAAAGCAAAGCTGGATGGAAATGGAAAATTTAAAAATAAAAAAATCTTTATTTCCATTTTGTAACATTCAGCCTCCTCCACATTGCTAGACTTTCTCTCCCAGTTTAATATGCAGTTTCCAATAATCAAGAAAAGGAGGAAACACAAATAAACCAAATTAATAATATAGGGACTATTAATCTCAGAAACAGAAGGGATTAACATTTTTCAACAAAAATGGGGTACCAAAAAAAAGAAGAGGTTTTAAAAAAAGTTAGACTACAAAATTTTTTTTGATGAAATCTCAGTAAAATGGATAGTTTCCTAGAAAAGTATAAATTAACAAAATTGATTCCATATGGCACGGAAAGCTTAGACCAAAACCAAACCAAAATAACAAGAAATAAGTTTAGGAAGGAGCATGGTATCTAGCCACTAAAGACAAAGAACCTGGAGTCAGACTGCTTGGGTTCAAATCCCAGCTCATTCTCTGCATGAGCTTGGCCTGGCTATTTAACCTCTCAAAGCCTCAGTCTTTTAATATGTAAGATGGGAACAGTAACTAATTTCGGGACTAGATAAGACAAATATAAATGATAACTACTTCTGAGGATGAAATTAGATGAGCTATGTGAAATAGTTATTAGAACTTTTGGCACATAGTACTAAGCATCCAATGAATGCAAGCTATTATTATTTAGAAATTAAAAGCATTGGCTGAGCCCAGTGGCTCACACTTGTAATCCTAGCACTTTGGGAGGCTGAGGCAGTTGAATAGCTTGAGCCCAGGAGTTGGAGATCAGCCTGGGCAACAAGGCAAGACCCCATCTCTATTAAAAAGAAAAGAAAGAAAAGAAAGAAAGAAAGAGAGAGAAAGAGAGAGAGAGAAAGAGAGAAAGAAAGAGAAATAAATAAATAAATAAATTAGAAGCATTATCAGACTTACCTCCTCAATACCTGTCCAAATGGTTTGACAAATGAGGAGTTTCAAACTTTTAAGGAACACATAATTATTATTCTACAAGCCAATACAGGGCACAGGAAGACAGAAACTCTTGGGTTCATCTCATTTATGAATATGGAGGTATATATATATGGTAATATCAAGAAGTTAGCCCAGGATGTTGAGGAAATTGATTATTACAAAGATGGAAACAAACATTGGGTATTTTCCATGTGCTTTAATCCTCTCACTCTACAAAAATAGACATTACCACTACTTCATAGATGAGGAAACTAAGGCTTAGGAAGATTGAAAAATTTGCCACGTTGCCAGCTGGAAGACTCATGTTTCCTAAACCAACTGACTCAAAATCCTAAATCCCAATCATGTCAGGAAGCTGTCTTTTATATAATACAAATACAATATTGATAGGGCAAATTTTTAAAATTATGATCTTGGTAAAGTGCCAAAATGTACTGGATAAACTGAATACTTATTACTGATTTTTGAAGTTAATAAAAGTATGAGGATTTTTTCTTACTATAATAAAGAATAGTAAGTCAGTGCAGTATTGATTACTGCACCAATAATCAGTATCTGACAAAATGGTAAATTATTTTGCAGCTATTTGAGAGCAAGGGTGTATGCTGCAACCCTTATCCGAAATGAGTACTAGAAGTTATAATTTCTGGAAATGGAAAGTTCCTCCCATCTCTAATAATAATAAGGGTATTGAATATTTACTGAGCATGTTTTATGTGGCAGAAATTTTTATATACATTAACTCATCCAATTCTCACAACCACCCCAGGAGGTAGATACTATTATTATTTTTTAATTAACAGAGGACAAAACTAAGACACAGAAAGGCTACCTAATATGCTCAAGATGACAAAAACAGTTCATCAGCCTTTGTGCTCAGGCAGGCTGGTGCTGGAGCCTGAGCTGTCAGCTGCTACATTAACAAAATGAAAGTACAGTTTTGGGCAAGGAGAAGTCAAATTCATTCTTACTTGCAAAATATATGATTTTACACCTAGAAATCCAAAAGAATGCATTGCAAAACTAGAGGAATTAATGAGATTGCTCAGTAAAGTCCTGTAGATATAATAAATATTCTAAAATTACCAGCTATTCTTACTATTATATTAGCAACAGACATAAAATAAAATGGGGAAAAATACCATGAGATTTAGCAACTACAACAATAGAAATATCTAAATATAATATTAATTATAAGAAAATTATTTTGAAGAAAATAATAAAAATTTATTGAGAGACATGAAAGACAAACTCATAAAAAGATGCTATTTCAGGTTGAGAAGCTGTAACACTTAAAAATCACTTTTAAAGTTAATTTATTGGCCTAATATAATTCTAATAAAAATTATGGTGAGTTTTTTATAACTTGAGGTTACTCTAAAATGTATCTGGGAAAACACAAGAACAATCAAAAAGAGTGGAAATTGCAATTTGAAGAGGAATTGTGGGCCAGGCGCGGTGGCTCACACCTGTAATCCCAGCACTTTGGGAGGCCAAGGAGGGTGGATCACCTGAGGTCAAGAGTTCGAGACCAGCCTGGCCAAGATGGTGAAACCTGTCTCTATTAAAACAATACAAAAATTAGCTGGGTGAGGTGGTGGGCACCTGTAATCCCAACAACTCTGGAGGCTGAGGCAGGAGAATCGCTTGAACCTAGGAGACGAGATTGCAGTGAGCCGAGATTGTGCCACAGCACTCCAGACTGGGGGATAGAGTGAGACTCTGTCTCAAAAAAAAAAAAAAAAAAAAAAGAAAGAAAAGAAAAGGAATTGTGGTAAGGTAGATTTCTGACTACCACTTTTTAAGAGAAGTGTAGACTTGAAAAAATATGCCTGTGTGTACAATAAATGTTATAAGAGTAGTTCACAAAGCAAGTGGAGGAAAGGAAATCATTATTTAACAAATGTTGCCCACAAGACAATGGGTTAGCTACCTGTAAGGGAAAAGAAAATAAATTAGATCCAGACCCTAGATAGCAAAATGAATTCCAAACGGATTAAGGAGGTAAATATTTTAAAATCGAGCCATTAAAATTAGAAGAAATTAGGATTGAATATTACTATATTTAATAATATTTGTTAAATCCCCAGATGAGAGAAAACTTTCTCAGTTTATATGCAATGGAAGAAATCACAAAGAAATACATGAAAAATAGATTTGGCTTTAAACTATTAGAACTTCACATGTTAACAAAATTTAAAGGCAAACAGAAAAAAAAAAACTGAAACTAGTATGGCAAACCACTATTTTAAAGATTTTGCATCTTTGGTTTATATAAATTTTTAAGAAAAACACTAGGGCCCCCAAACAGCAAATGGGTAAAGAGTGTAGAGCACACAATTTACAAACAATCCAGAACAGACCAAAGCTATTATGCAAAAGAGCTCTGTACAGCGTCATTATAAAAGTGAAAAATGGGAAGCAATCTAAAGAAAAAAACAAAAACTGAAGAAATGAGGATTGAGGCTTTGAATGGAAGACCATATGGCCGTTTAAAATTACATTTAGGAAGAACTCATCTGGAGAAAGAAATCTGTTCTACGAAAATATACAATGCAATTGTATTTAGCTACATAAAATATAATCACAATTTTGTAAAAAGTGAACATAAGGCTGGGCGTGGTGGCTCATACCTGTAATCCCAGCACTTTGGGAGGCAAAGGTGGGAGGATCGCTTGAGCCCAGGAGTTTGAGACCAGCCTGGGCAACATAGTGAGATCCCCCTCTCTACAAAAAATGTTTTAACCCATTTTCTATTTAGAAAAAAAAAAAGTACAACTAATTCTCTTTGAGGCTGAAGCAAATCTGACTCATTTTCAATATGAAAATAAAATATAAAAACCATTCTTGGGAGTTATTTCTAAATAGAACTTGTCTCTAATCATCATGTAGCAGAAATGTATATGATGTTACATGAGGGTAAGAGACAAAAGTATTCTTGAGGGAAACAGGAGATGGGTTAAAAAATTAGCTGGGCCTGGTGGAGTGCACCTGTACTCCCAGATACTTGGGAGGCTGAAGCAGGAGGATCACTTGAGCCTGGGAGATCAAGGCTACATGAGCCGTGGTTGCACCACTGCACTCCAGCCTGGGCGACAACGTGAGACCCTGTCTCAAAAAAAAAAGTGAACATAAAAAGAATGAAAATTTATAAAGAGAGAAAACTCTGGGTCATTAAACTTCTTTCTCATCATAGTAGTTCAGTAATAACACACCCAATTCATGTGTCAGCTCCCCAAATCCAGAATATTTCTTTCATTTGTTTGTTTTTTGAGACGGAGTCTCGCTCTGTCCCCAGGCTGGAGTGCAGTGGCGCAATCTTGGCTCACTGCAACCTCCGCCTCCCAGGTTCAAGCAATTCTACTGCCTCAGCCTCCCGAGTAGCTGGGATTACAGGTGTGCAGCACCGTGCCTGGCTAATTTTTGTAGTTTTAGTAGAGACAGCATTTCACCATGTTGGCCAGGCTGGTCTCGAACTCCTGGCCTCAAGTGATCCACCCACCTCAATCTCCCAAAGTGCTGGGATTACAGGTGTGAGCCACTGCACGTGGTCCAGAATATTTCATTAACAATAATTTTGTTTATCAAATATAGATTTATTCATAAATATGAATCTATAGAAAATAAGTTTAGGATGTTATTTAAATGCACTTTATTCATATGGAGGGAATGAAAGAAGATACATGTAAGTGTTAACAAAACCAGGTATTGGGATTGAGGATGTTTTATTTCATTTGTTATACTTTCTGTCATTTTCAAAGTTTTCTGCAATTAACATGCATTTTTTCCAATTAAGAAAAATATTTATTTTTTATTGTTTAATTAGTTAATAAAAAATAAATTAAAAATTTTTCCTAATTGGCTGGAGTGCAGTGGTAGGATCAAAGCTCACTGCACCCTTGAACTCCTGGCTCAAGTGATCTTCCTCAGCCTCTCAAAGTGCTAGGATTATAGGCATGAGCCGCTGCACCCGGCCTATTTTTTTAATTGGTGAAAATTATCCATATTTATTGTGTACAACATGTTTCGAAATAAGTATACATTGTGGAATGGCTAAATCAAATGAATTGACAGCTACATAACCTCACATATTTATCATTTTTTGTAGTGAGAACATTTGAAATCTACTCTCAGCAGTTTTCAAGAATACAATACGTTGTTATTAACTATAGCCAAAAAAGTTTTCAGACATTGAAATAAGCCTAGATTTTCTGAGTGCCTTAAATCAGCATGACACCAAATTTATCTAAATAAATTATATCTCACCATGTTAATAGAACATTGAGATGATCACCTAAATGTCTGAATTTCAATCAATCAAATATTTATCGAGTGGTCCATGCACATGGTCCTGTGTGAAATACTCTTGATGGTGTGAAGGAGAAAATGCCATTTGTACTTTCAAGAGTTCATTTGCACTTGGAAAATCAAGGCATTAATATGTGAAAAGTCAAAAAGCAGAAGAGATGCCGCAGGTGAAGAATAATGAATTGTCAGAAGGAGTGGTATCAATAATACATTATATTTCAGAGGAAAAAGAGATCCCCAAGAGACAGAATGTTCAGGGAAGAGTCACTGAGAGGGAATTATTTGAAGGACAGGCAACAGATGGATGGAAGGAGGGGAGAAGAGCAATCTAGCTAAAGTTGTCTTGCCAACCCTGGCTTTGGGGACAGCTTTAGTGGAATTGATTGTCTTCTAACAAAGTTGGATTTATATTTGACCACATGTAAATAGCATAATGTGGAAACAGCTGAGTATACTGCAAAGCGACCACACAAGCGAGTATAGGCAAATGGTCAGGTGTAGAGACTCAGTGGCCAAATAGATTGTGTTTAGGACATCAGCTATGGCCTTCCTAGCTGTGAGTTGCTTTACTTTTCCAGCTTCAGGGTTATATCTGTAAAATGGGGATGACATCTGTTTTGTGGGTTTTTCTTTTCTTTAGACAGGGTCTTGCTCTGTTGCCCAGGCTGGAGTGTCCAGTGGTGCAAGCACGGCTCACTGCAGCCTCGACCTCCTGGGCTCAAGCAATCCTCCCACCTCAGCCTCCCGAGTAGTTGGGACCACAGGTGCATACCACCATGCCTGGCTAATTTTTTAATTTTTGAGAGACAGGATCTTGCCATGTTGCCCAGGCTGTTCTCAAACTCCTGGGCTCAAGCAATCCTCCTGTCTCAGCCTCCCAAAGTGCTGGGATTACAGGTGTGAGCCACCGTGCCCAGCCTGTTTCATGTTTTTAACTCACACGTCTTGTGTTTACCATGTATGTGCTATATCATAAAAAACATTTTGCATCAATTATCTTATTTAATCCTCAGAATAACAACCTTATGAGGTAGATACTATTGTTCTCCCAATTTTACATATGAGAAAACCAGGTTGTAATCCCCCGTGGAGGGGACATAATTCAGACACAGATGGTTTGAGGCCAGAGCCTTCACCACATTGCATTCAGTATTGAAAATGCTGGCCGGGCGTGGTGGCTCACACCTGTAATCACAGCAATTAGAAAGGCAGGGGTGGGAGGTTGGCTTGAGCTCAGGAGCTTGAGACAAGCCTGGACAACATAGTGAGACCCCATTCTTCAGAAAAAGAAAAAAAAACAGGAAAATGCTCAGTAGAGGGCCTGGCATATATAGGTACCAGAGGATGATCCTTGGACCAGAACATTCAACTCAAAATTGTCTTAAATGTATAAACACACCCATTTCCATAAGGCCTTGTAAGAACACTGGGCCCACTCATGATTTTCAGGTGGGAGCAACACAGTGTACGAAACCATGGGGTCCTGCGATGTCCCTGGTCCTAAACAATGCCTGTTCCTATGACTGTCAATGAGTCACTCACCAGGGAATAGAGAAGGTCAAAACGCCAGGCTGAGGAAAGGGAGGGATGGAGTGTGCCAAATATCATGGGGAAAAGGACAACAGAGGGTTACAGGATCACCTTCATTCTCATATCAGAGAAATCTTTCCTGGATTCTCTTTGGCTCTGGTCACCATGTCAGGGTCCTCACCCCAGGTGGTTATGAGGCTAGGGCTCATCTGGAATATGGCATGAGAACCTAGATGAACATTCCAGTTCAACAACTTTATACATTCCTTGGGCACATTATTTCCTCTCCCTGAGCCTCAGTTCCCCTGTCTATAAAATGAGAGGAGTGGGCTAAATCAATTCAGTTCTGACATTTTGTTATTTTAGAATTTTTCTGAAATGGACTAAAAAGTGAGATTCAAAAGTGAGAAAGAGCAACTTTGAGCCTCAACTAGATAAACCACACCTCCAGTCACATTTATTTCTAGGTGCAAGCACTGCCAATTTCTAGCAGGAAAGCAAGTCATCCAGAGTTTCTAATTAGTAATTTTGGGGAAAGCAGTTTTGCAAGGAACTACTAGAGATGAATGCAATGTGGATGCAACTTAGTTCCAAGACTAAATCAGCAAGAACACAAAAAGTTGCAAGCTACTCAAGCAGTATTCATGGATTCATTTTGCTAGTTCCCACAAAGCTCCAGATGAATTAGAAGGGGTCAAATTATTCTGTTTCATCGATTGGCCTGCTAAATTTTAGGGAAACTAGGCACCTTCTACAGATTATGCACCCTCTATAGATTATGCATCTTGTTGGCTGGGACTGCATATATTACACTCCGCAATTCATAGCACAGTACGTAAAAACACGGCAGGGATAGGGATGGAAAAAGCATTTCAATGTGTAACACTCTGTACACATTGCTATTAAATCAATTTGCATATAATAAATGTTTAACCTTGGGGGAGCCACTTAATGTCTCAGAGTTTCGCTTTTCTCCTCTTTCAATTGGGCAGTCAAATGTCTCTTTATTTGACTTATTTTCCAGTTGAAGAAACTGAGGCAGCAAGGTGTTAAGGGACTCGACTGATTCAGTGAAAGAAAACTCTTCTGGAGAACTTTAGCACAGAAGAGTTAGACCAGGCCTTTCTCCATCTCTCCAACCCGGGGGTTGGGGGGAGCTCAGAATTATTAGGAGGGCTACATGAGACCATGGAAACTTCCAGTACCATTCCTGCCTCCTTGTCAGGATTCAGGGCCAGTGCTGGCTTCATGGACTTGTAACCTGTGCAGACTAGTAGGGCCCTGTGCTCACAAGGACCCCATGATTGGCCTGATGCTTTGTGGCTGTCATCTTTAAATTCGTAACAATTTTTGAGTAAGGGACCCCAGATTTTCATTTTGCGTTGTGTGCCACCAATTATGTAACAGATCCTACTCAAGGCATTTAATTGGGTAGTTTGCCAAAGCTCACAAAATAGGTCAACACACAGAACGAGAAGCAGGATCAGCCAATCAACAAGTCTTCCTTGAGTACCTGATACATGCTTCCCAGCACCGCATTGTCTGAGCCCCTCCCAGGTTGGAGAGATGGAGAAAAGCCTGATCTAACTCTTCTGTAATGAAATTCTCCAGAAGAGTTTTCTTTCACTGATTCAGTCAAGTCCCTTAACACCATGGCGCCTCAGTTTCTTCAACTGGAAAATAAGGCTGTTAGTAGCACTTACGTCTTTAGGTGTGAGGAATAAATGGGCCAATCTGCGTAAAATTCTTTGAACAGTCCTCGGCAGATACTAAGCTCTATATAAGGGTCGACTGTTTCTGTTTTGTGCTGTTATTAGCTTTTCCTTGTCCAGATGCTGGCATGGCTTTTTTCTTTCATGGTGCACATTCTCTGACCTCTATTCATAAAATTTTAAAACTCCCAGGCTGGCTCTCTTCCCTCCACACATACTAGTCCTTTGCTGCTCAGAGTGTTTTCTCAGGGAAAACATTCCTATAGGATGTTTATGGGGGAAGATATTCTGTGAGATCTGGTTCCCATTTGACTTAAAAAGGAAACTTCATAGCTGTTATTGGTGGAGCCTGTACTGGCACTAAATGTACATTGTCTGAATCCATGTAGCAACCCTGTAAGGTGGGTGTTTTATGCCCATTTTACAGATGAGGAAACTGAGGCTCACAAAAGTTTAGCAGAGTGAGGATTTGGAACCAGTTTTTGCTGGACCCAAAATCCATGTACCTTCTGGCCGAAGCCCCAATGGCTGCTGTTGCTAGTGTAGACAGATGTCAGGTCTCAGGCACAAGAAATTCATGTCCATAAAGTGTAATCTTAGGCTCACTGTAAGCTGATTGCAAGTGGAATTCCGCACCCTGGAATCTCAGCACATAAACAGAGAATCCTCTCTAAAACTTCTACACATATATGCTCGCAAACAAATGCACACTTCAAACTAATTTAAAATCCTGTCTCCATAGACAGTACTTACCCTTAGGACTATGAGCACAGTTTGATCCCAGTCTGTGTTTCAGCGATGTCCTAACGGAAATATCTCCCCGACCCTTCTCCAGCCCCTACCCAGAAGCTTCTGTGTCACTGGAGGTCAGTCACAAGTGTTTCAACATTTCCAACAAGGCGGGAGCACTGCCACTCAGAAGATAGCAATCTCGCTCGTTGAGTACAGCAGGGTGAAGGGAGAGATAATGCCTCCTGTCTCTTTTGGCCATGCTCTGCCCAGCTCCCTGGTACAGACAGTTTGTGTAGATGGAGGAGATTAGTAATCTCTTTCTCTCCCTGTGGCACACATTTAGATACCACAAATACACACGCAGCCAGGTAGAGTGGAAAGAGCACTAAAGGAGGAGTTAAGAGGCCTAAGATCAAGTCCCAGCTCTGGCACCAATGTGCCACATGAGCTCAGACAATTTGTTTTTCCCTAAAGGGACTCATGTTCTTCCTCTGTAAAATGAAGAAGTAGGTCTCTAGATATTAGCAAAGATACTTTCCAACCTAGCTCATCTGTGAATCTATATGTGATGTATTCAAAGATTAAGTGAGTAGGGGACGTTGGGCAATAGATAAGAATAAATTTTTGAGGACAACTTCTTTGTCATTAAGCATCAAATGAGGCCAACCAAAAATGGCTGTTACAGTTTGTGGGATAACAGCAGGAAGGGAAGGAAGGCTGATTTCAGGCTCTTTGGAGGGCCTAAAATCCCAAAATAGAAACTTAAGAGGAAAGAAGAATGGGAGGAGGATAAAATGACCCAGATATAAAACAGACAAAGAAAACAGAGATTTGTAGGCCTCTATGATGTCAGTCCCTTGCTGTGAACAAATTGCCTGGTGCAATTTGAGTAATAGCTTCTGAGTTAGATATAGTCAGGTTTCAATCCTGGTTCCACTACTTGGCAACTGGGTGACTTGGGAAAAGTTACTTAACCTCTCTGATTGTCAGTTTTTTCATCTGTAAAATTGGGTTAATAATAAATATCTGATATTTTTTAAATCTCATAAGGTTGTTTAAGGTTAAATAATATAAGTAAGTAAGTGAAGCACTTAACAGAATGTCCTTTCTGTAGTGAACAACAGATGGTAGCTATTAACTTTTTTTTTTTTTTTGAGACGGAGTCTCTCTCTGTTGCCCAGGCTGGAGTGCCATGGTGCGACCTCGGCCCGCTGCAACCTCCGCCTCCTGGGTTCAAGCGATTCTCCTGCCTCAGCCTCCTGAGTAGCTGACATTACAGGTGAGTGCCACCACACCTGGCTAATTTTTGTATTTTTAGTAGAGACAGGGTTTCATCATGCTGGTCAGGAGCTGGTCTCAAACTCCTGACATCGTGCTTCACCCGCCTCAGCCTCCCAAAGTACTGGGATTACAGACATGAGCCACAGCGCCCAGCCGCTATTAACATTTTTATTCTCTAAATGCAAGTCAGAAAGCCACCCCTTGGGCTGAGTCCCTTTCAGTGTTTTATGACCCGTTGATGTATCACAGCTCACTGTGGAACTACGTCTATTGCTGCAGTTTGCTTCCCTTTGCATAGTTCATGTTAAAAACATGAAGCCTCTTTATTACTCAAGATTTGAGGAAAGCAGAACACTGGGAGCCATGTGGAGTGATTTCCTAACTGGGCTCTCCACCTGCTCTAGGTTTGCCCTGCCAGTGTCAATACACACTTCGCTCTGCTCCTGACTCAGCCATGGACACTAAGTAATCAATTCAAGCTACAGCTAACTGTGGGGATCATGCCAAGATGCTTGGCCTGCTATTTCTATTATCCATTCACAGGAACCCAGTGTAGATATGGCAGCATCCAATGTCACGTAACATTCATACAGCTCTAGCCTCTGTGTGGACCACTCTTGGACCAGAACCTTCCATGATGCTACTCCAAGATTCACAAGATCATAGGATTGTTAAAGATCTTTGAACACACATATTTCAGTGTCATTTTAGAGATCTTCAGTTGATTAAGGACAATGATGCGGCATTTTTATCATGTATCAGAGATAATGATTCCTTTAATTAAGCTACACTTCTGTGCACACTCTTGCTAGGACTGCGTTGCAGCAATATGCTTCTATCTTTATAAGATGCACCAGAGTTTAGTAGAAAATCCACTTGACTTGAACTTCAATGACCTAAAAATCTGAGGCATTTATCCCCTCTGGACTACATTTTTCTTATATCTCATTGTAAGAATTTTTGATTAGATCATTTCCAGCATCCTTTCTGCTCTAAAATCTCATGGTTTTGTGTATTACATGTCATCCACAACTCTGCTTTAAATAGCAAAGTCAGAATTATTGAAGTCTGTCTTGTTCTCTGTATCCCCACCAGCCGGGATTGTGCCTGTACCTAGTATGTACTCGATACATGTTTGTGGCATGGATAAATGAGTGAATTAAGGTGCTGTGTTACATATGCATGGTGTATACATGCATCGTGTCCACTCCCTACTACATGCAAACACTTGCCGATGATGAGAAGATGATTTGCTCCAAAAGACTCTTCAGCCTATAGTTCCAGCACTTTGGAAAGCCAAGGCAGACAGATAGCTTGCGCCCAGGAGTTTGAGACCAGCCTGGGCAACATACATATAGAGACGAGGTTTTGCTATGTTGTGTATGTGTCTGTGTGTGTGTGTGTGTGTATGTACAAAAAAATTAGCTGGATGTGGTGGCATGCGCCTGTAGTCCCAGCTACTCGGGAGGCTGAGGTGAAAAAATCGTTTGAGCGCCAGAGGCAGAGATTGCAGTGGGCCATGATCATGCCACTGCACTCCAGCCTGGGTGACACAGTGATGCCCTATTTCAAAAAGAAGGCACTTTGCCTGCTCCTGCTCAGAGGCTACTGGGAATGGATGCACGCTGATGCTTCCTACTGAGGTCTGGGTTCAGGGCTCCAACTGCCAAGCCCTGGGACATGTGGCCCCCTTATCTCTGCTTTGAGCTGACAGACTCCTGCCCCGAGGGTAGGATGCAAGGGGAGATCAAACAGTGATAAGTGAAGTTATAACATCTGTAACATCAACAGGAAGCTCTTTTTGATGGTTTATCACCCACTGGAAAAGGAACCTCTGATCGAGGTCGATAACACACTTTCACCTCCTACCCCACCCCGTAGCCCATTTCGTAAGATAACAGCCTCCTTCCCAAGCCTCCCCACTCTGTGCATAAAGTCTCCTACATTTGTGGGTCACAATGTTTCACAGAAAACACAGCTACTCTCTGTAGGATAACTGTTTTCTCTATTTTAAAGTAGGGAATGTTGTGTCAACAGAATTAGGGATTTTTTGTCTTTTTTTGCCTAAGCCCCAGGCTTGCAAAATAATAATAAGACTGCACATGCAGCTTTCATATGAAGTGTCAGAAATAGGATTGGGGAATTTTTGACAAGGGAGAAAAAACCCTACTCTCTATGCAATCACCCTAATATATTTTTGCATAATGCCTTGTCTGCATACTTGCATTTAAAAGAATAGTTTTCCACATTATAAGGAAGGATCATTTAAAACCCACCATTCTGGTTATGTCACCCTCTGCTCAGAATTCTCCAGCGGCTTCCCATTGCAATTAGGATGAAACCCATGATCCTGAACAACGTCTATAAGGCTTGCCCCCTCTGGTAGCCGCATGCCCTTTTAACTGTATTTCTGCCACTTTGCTTTCTTTTCTGTCTTCACACTCTACCAGGCTTTCAGGATGTTTGCAAATGTGGGTGTCTCTGCATCCAAAGAGTTTTCATAGTACTTGCAATAGCTGCTAAATATTTTGCCTTGCTGGTGGGGCACGGTGGCTCAGGCCTGTAATCCCAGCACTTTGGGAGGCCGAAGAGGCAGATCACAAGGTCAGGAGTTTGAGACCAGCATGACCAACATGGTGAAACCCCGTCTCTACTAAAAATTTAAAAATTAGCCCGGCGTGGTAGCACACACCTGTAATCCCAGCTACTGAGGAGGCTGAGGCAGGAGATTCGCTTGAACCTAGCAGGCAGAGGTTGCAGTGAGTTGAGATCGCACCACTGCACTCCAGCCTGGGCAACACAGTGAGACTCCATCTAAAAAAAATAGAAAAAAAATGCCTTGCTGATCTAACCCTAAATTCCTAACCATTCCTTTGGGTCATCATTCAGTCATTCCCAGGGTTTTACTATTGGCAACTACACTGTGATGGGTACCTTTGTACATACTAATTTTTTTGGTTTATTTTAGATTATTTCCTTAATTTAAAGCTCCAGGAGCAGATATTGAAGTTAAAGGAAACGTCTTTATGGCTCTTGCATCATATTGACCTTCTGCTTTCAAGTCTGTTTTACTACACCACTAGCAGCATTTGAGTGTATCTATTTCACTGCAACCTAGATAGCAATGAATTATCACTTTTTCAGTAATGATATACATCTCCACTGGTTTTTAAATGTATTTTTAAAAATCTATTATTAGCAATAAAATATTTTACTATTTTTCAGCACCAGCCACTATATCAGCTGCTTTATATATGCTTCTTTAATCCTCAGAACAACTTTACAAGGAATATATCATGAACACTATATTAAGATAAAGAAACTCAAGACTGGGGGGGTTAACTTGCTCAATGTCACAGAATTGTTTAAGTAGCAGAATCAGGATTCAAATTCAGATCATTTATTATTGTTATCATTATTACTTCAAAAGCCATTTGCTTTATGCAATATTTGTTTACCTTTTGCATCCCCCCAGCTAAATGACTTTTTGCACAGTCAACATGTCATGGCTTAGGGTGCAGTCCAGCGGGTCTAGACAGAATGACAACATGGCTTCATGGGTGTCTTTAGGATAGCACTCTATAGACAGTTGTTTCTTGCCCCCCCAGGCACCTCTACCACCCTTCCCCTTCCTTTCAGATTAAACTTTTTATTGATTAAAAGTCTCACTCCATACACCGAAGTTTAACCCTAATGACAGGTGCATTAAAATGTCCACCTTACAGAGTTGTTTAAGATTCAATGAACTCATATGAAGCACTCTGTTACCTAGAAAACACTACAAATATCAGGCTTTGTTATATAACTTTATTTTATTTTTTATTTTTTTGGAAACAGGGTCTCACTCTGTTGCCCATACTGGAGTGCAGTGGCATGATCATGGCTCGCTGCAGCTTCAACCTCCTGGGCTCAAGCCATCCTCCTGCCTTAGCCTCCTGAGTAGCTGGGACTATAGGCCCAAGCCACCAAGCTTGGCTAATTTTTAATGTTTAAAAACATTTTAAAAAATGTTTTGTAGCTACGAGGTCTCACTATGTTGCCTAAGCTGGTCTCAAAGTCCTGGGCTCAAGGGATCCTCCTGCCTCGGCCTCCCAAAATGCTGGGATTACAGACATGAGCCACCGCACCCAGCCTGTTACGTAACTTTAAATGTGGGTTAACTATCCCTTACCCAAGATGCTTATGACCAGAAATATTTCAGATTTGGTGGGGAAGGGAGTTGAATTTTGGAATATTTTCATATACATAATGAGATATCTTGGGGATGGAACCCAAGCCTGAACACGAAATTCACTTATGTTTCTTATGTACCTTATAGACATAGGCTGGAGGTAATTTTATGTAATATTTTGAATAATTTTGTGCATGAAACAAAGTTTGTGTACAGCGAAACCTCAGAAAGCAAAGGTGTCACTATCTCAGCACCCATGTGGACAATCTGGCTATTTGGCATCACCATCATTCATGGCTCTGAATTTACTTGCTACTGATAAGCAATCATTTTCTTCCACTTATTCACAGGTAAGTACTTAACAGAAAAAAATGTGATGTGCCCTTAATACGGTGAGAAAACAATGTGTTCAGGGTAACTAAGCAACTACGTAGCATCTCTATAATACCTGTACCAGCTGTTAGACAACAGCAGCAACAAGCATCCCCAGGCTTTCAGTCTCCACCTACGATGTTGTAGCCTTGAGTTCCCAGGCTCAAGCAATCTTCCTGCCTTGTGTGGCTAGGCCTGCAGGCACTCACCACCATGCCCTGCTAACTTTTTAATTTTTTGTAGAGACAAAGTCTCACTAGGTTAACCAAGCTGGTCTTGACCTCCTACCCTCAAGTCATCCTCCCTCCTTCCCCTCCCAAAGTTCTGGGATTACAGATGTGAGCCACCACACCCAGCCTCACCATGTTGTTTATAGGCACTTACTCTGCAGTATTAATGTCATCTTGATGGTCACCATTATCACAGTCACCTTGAATCAGAACCATTTCAGCTATTTCACCATTGGTCAATGAATGAAGAGCTGTAGTCCCAAGAATGTTAAAAACTTCTTTGACATACACTTCTTCCTGCTTACTTACAGACTCTGAAGGTATATATTTTGCATATATAAAGAGCTTAGACATCTTTTTTTTTCACTTCACATAAGGAATCCTTCCAAGTCATCACCGGCTCACCATCATCACTGAACACAGTTGCAGGCCAGAGTTCATTCCAGGCATGCACAGCTGTGTTTTTGTGTCGTTGTCTTCCAAGCACTGGCAACAACCTCTTCTCATCATCGGCAAGTGTTTGCATGTAGTAGGGAGTGGACACGATGCATGTATACACCATGCATATGTAACACAGCACCTTAATTCACGCATTTATCCATGCCACAAACATGTGTCGAGCACATACTAGGTACAGGCACAATCCCAGCTGGTGGGGATGCAGAGAACAAGACAGACTTCAATAATTCTGACTTTTCTATTTAAAGCAGAGTCGTGGATGACATGTAATACACAAAACCATGAGATTTTAGAGCAGAAAGGATGCTGGAAATGATCTAATCAAAAATTCTTATAAGGAGAGATAAGAAAAATGTAGTCCATATAAGCCATCCTTCAGCTAAATTCCTTTTGAAAACCTTCCACACCCACACTTCTGTTCACTGCTTCCAGGATGCTATTCAAGAATGTGTTTTTATATTTATTCTTTCCTGGTCTAAGGATATGCTGGTCACATGGCTGAATTAATGAAGTCACATTTGGGGGAAGTACATGGCATAAACATTTTTGATGAGAATTTCAGCTGGAAGATGAGCAGAACAGTTGTCAAGGAACAAGAAAATCTTGCAGTTGTCATCCAGTCCGACTTCCCTGCCGTGGGCGTGAGCCTCTGGTACAAAAGGTTTATGAAACCAAGCATAAAAGATGTCCCTGGGCTGGGTGCAGTGGCTTATGCCTGTAATCCCAGCACTTTGGGAGATCGAGGAGGGTGGATCGCTTGAGCCCAGGAGTTTGAGACCAGCCTGGGCAACATGGCAAAACCCTGTCTTTACAAAAACATAGCAAAATTAGCCGAGGGTGGTGGCACATGCCTGTGCATGCCTGTAGTCCTAACTACTCTGGAAGGTGAGGCGGGAGGATGGCTTGACCCCAGGAGTTTGAGGCTGCAGTGAGCTGTGACCATGCCACAGCACTCCAACCTGGGTGACAGAGCAAAACCCTGTCTCATTAAAAAAAAAAAAGACTCCCTGGTGATCCATGTTTTTTTGTTAGCATAATAATGGACTGGAAGGAAATTCACTTACAGAAAACAACAAGTTTTTGCTTCTCGCAGCAAGTACACTTATGCATGCCTATTGCATTAGCACATCTAAGCATAGTTATCCTCTCCTTGGCATCCTTAATTCCTATAAGTGCTGTCTCATCAGCTGTAGTCAGTGTCTTTCTGGGGCAATAATGCCAAGACAGTGATGTTTCATCAGCATTAAAGACTTGTTCTGGCTGTGCACGGTGGCTCATGCCTGTAATCGTAGGACTTGGGAGGCTGAGGCGGGTGGATCACTTGAGGTCAGGAGTTCAAAACCAGCCTAGCCAACATGGTGAAACCCTGTCTCTACTAAAAATACAAAAATGTTAGCCGGGCGTAGTGGTGGGCACCCGTAATCCCAGCTACCGGGAGGCTGAGGCAGGAGAATCGCTTGAACCCAGGAGGTGGAGGTGGCAGTGAAAAGAGATCATGCCACTGCTCTCCAGCCTGGGCAACAGAGTGAGACTCTGTCTCAAAAAAAAAAAAAAGACTTTGGCATCAGATTTTTTCAACTGTGACCTTGGCAAACTCACCAATGAATTTATCTGCTGCTTTATAACCAACAGATGCTTTGTCACCACAATAGTTTAAAAATTTAATGCTGTATCTTTACTTAAATTTCTGCCGCCAGCCTGTTGAATATTCACAGTTGTCTTCAATTTTCAGTCCATCATCATAGATCTGTGTTTGTTTCATGGTCAGCATACCATTAAGTGACATATGTCCACTGCCAATGATCCACTCTTTTCATACATGATTGAGGTCTTCATTTTTAGCTTTATGCGGTGTTTTTCTATTTTTCATTAACTTCTGTTCATCATATTCAGCACAGGACTCCAACAGTTTATCCTTGTTTCTTCATGTCATATATGTTGGCCATTCCAACACCATACTTTCCAGCAAGATGCTACACACTTACACTGCTGTCCAGTTTCTCCAGCAGCTTGATGTTCCGTGCTATAGATAAACATGAATGCTTCCTCTTTTTCTTATCACTGTTACCCATAGAGATATTTGGCAGGCCTTCTGGACATTTTCAACAATATATTTACACCACAGGCAGAGAATGAGCAAAAAAACACAGTGAGTAATGCACACAGTTTTGGCCCCCTGTGGGGCATTGTGGGAATGGGCCATTAACACGTCTGGCCCTGTTATTACCCTTTGTGGGTGTGCCTGGGTGAAGGGAACCTGGGCACGTGCAGAAAAAATACATCACCTATGAGGGGGCTGGGAGGGTCTTTTTCCCTTTGGGAATGTTGAATAAACTGTGTGCTCTGTGCCTACATTTTGACTGAGACCTGTCACATGAGGTCGAATTAGAAGTTTTCTGCCTGTGGCATCATGTCAGCACCCAAAAAGTTCCAGCTTTTGGAGCATTTCAGATTTCAGATTTTCAGAGTAGGGGTACCGAACCTGTAATAATATAAAGGAAATGGGGGATGACTCCTGAGTGCAGGGTTTCCTTTAGGGGTGATGAAAATGGCCTGAAATTGATGGTGGCGCACAACAGTGGGTGGTTGCATAACTCTGTGAATATACTAAAAACCACGGAACTGTGCACTTTTAATTGGTGAAATGTGTGGTATGTGAATTCTATCTCATAAGGCTAATATTAAAAAGAATCATATAAAACATTTGCTTTGCTATGATGGCCAGTATGCCATCCCTCCAAGTAGCTCTGACATTCATTCATTTATTCATCCATTCATTCATTCTACAGATATTTCTTGATAGTCCACTATATATGTGGCTCTGTGCTAAGCACTGGGATACAGAGTTGAAGAAGATAGACATTGTCCCCATCCTCATGCTATTGGGAACATAGACTTTAGATAAAAAATTGCACTGAGGTGTGATGAATTTTTTATTATGGAAAGTTAAAAGGAGACAAGGAACATACAGCAGAGGGTCCTATCACAGTCTTTGGTCAGAGAAGGTCCCAACTCTGATCTAGGGAGTGGAGGGAGGATTCTGGGCAGAGGAAAGAGCAGAAAGTCCCATGAGAGAGAAAGTGCCCAGTGCATTTGAAAAACTGAGAGCCAGCCAAGATAGAGGGGAGCGGGTACGAGGCAGTGAGGAGTGATGAGGCTGCAAAGGTGGGAATGGGCCGGATTACGGAGGCCCTTGTTTGCTGTGTTAAGGAGTCTGGATTTAACCGACAGATAGTGCTAGCCCATTGAAGGCTAGTTGGTCAGTCAAAAGGAGGCAAGATTAAGTTCTTTTTAGAGGAACCCTCTGGTTGCAATGTGGAGAATAGACTGGAGGAGATAAAGAGGCCATTAAACGGATGTTTTAAATATGTAGGAGGTAGAAATGATAGGATTTGGTGATTGAACTACTTTGAATGGAGGTGGGAAGGAGAGAATTCCAGGGTGACTCACAGATTTCCAGCTTGGGCAAGTGGGTTGGTTGCGCGAGACAGGGAGTCATGGAGGAACAGCGGGATACTTTCGTTTCAGATGTGTTGAGTTTGAGAACACGGGGCCCAGTATGCATAGTGACAAAAACTCAGACTCCGAAGCCCAACAGGCCCTTCCACCTTATTGCTGTGTGATCTTGGAGAAGTTACCTAAGCTGTCTGTGACTCCACTTCTTAGAGATGATAATAATAATAATACTAGCTTTCTCAAGTGCAGTAATGAGAGTTATGAGTTAATATATGTGAAATACTTACAATGTGTCTGGCACACTTAAAGACTATACAAGTGTTTATCATCATCATCATGATTGTTGCTATGATATGCCCAAAAGATGAGTCCAGGAAACAGATGTATGCACCTGTCTGCTGCTGGCAATGTAGATTTTAGTGGCATCAGCAAGCAAATGGCACCTGAAGCCTTGGGAGTAGAGTGAGAGGGCAAAGGGCCAGGACAGAGCCCTGAGGTGCTCCCACATCAGAGACAGGTAGAGCCTGCCAAGGAGATCCCAAAGGCCTGGTAAAGACACAGGAGGAGCCAGGCATGGTGGCTTATGCCTGTAATCTCAGCACTTTGGGAGGCCAAGGTAGGTGGATTGCTTGAATCCAGGAGTTTGTGACCAGCCTGGGGAATATGGCGAAACCCTGTCTCTACCAAAAATACAAAACTTAGCTGCCCATGGTAGTGCACGCTTATAGTCCCAGCTACTTGGGGGGTTGAGGCGGGGTGAGGGGGATTGCTTGAGTCCAGAAGGTTAAGGTTGCCGTGAGCTGTGATCACACCACTGCACTCCAGCCTAGGTGACAGAGCGAGACCCTGTCTCAAAAAAAAAAAAAAAAAAAAGACACAGGAGGAATGTGGTGGGTGTATACAGATGCTGAGCCATGAGGAGCAGTCATAAATGTTAGGGCTTCTGGCTGTCACCCTGCTTTCTTTGGGCAGTAAAGACCACCTCCAGTTGTGGTGTTTCAGGGGACATGCTGGAATTCAGTAAATTGAGTTTTTAATATCTATGCCCAGAAACATATTTTCAGAGTACATTACGGGAATATGGTATTTTTACAAAGCCTAAAACACATCCTCTTTTTTTTCTTTTTGAGATGGAGTCTTGCTGTGTTGCCCAGGCTGGAGTGCAGTGGCACGATCTCGGCTCACTGCAACCTCCGCCTCCCAGGTTGAAGCTATTCTCCTGCCTCAGCCTCCCGAGTAGCTAGGATTACAGGCTCTTACCACTATGCCTGGCTAATTTTTTTGTATTTTTAGTAGAGACAGGGTTTCACCGTGTTAGCCAGGATGGTCTCGAACTCTTGACGTTGTGATCCACCCACCTCGGCCTCCCAAAGTGCTGGGATTATAGGCGTGAACAACCGCGCCCGGCCCATTCTCTTATAAAAACAAGAATCCTCTTGGAATAAGGGCCATGTTTCTATGTTCATCAGTTTTGTATGTTTGGACCTTTGTACATTGAATGTGTCCTTTCTTCCTTCTGGGCTAGATTTTCTTCCACTGTTTTGTGCCAGTTTTAAATTCCTACCTAGATCATCAGCTCCTTAAGGAAATGAAAAATTAGGGGCGGCATGAAAGACTTATTTGTTGCGTTCCTGTTTATGAAGATCTGTTGCTAAATGGTACCTGAGACAGGTTCTAAAAAAAAGGGTTTTAACTCATATGGCTTCTTCCATCTAATGATGGCAAAATACGCCTACTGATTTAGTCCATTCAACTGACCAATGGGAAATAATCCTTTATAACATAATCAGTTACAATCAGTTGTTAATTTTTTACACTTTCTTTTTCTTTTTTTTTTTTTTTTGAGTTGTTGGACAGGGGGCGTCTCACTTTGTTACCGAGGCTAGAGTGCAGTGGCATGATCATAGCTCACTGCAGTCTCAGCCTCCTGGGCTCAAGGGATCCTCCTGCCTCAGCTTCCCTAGTAGCTAGGACCACAGGCATTCACCACCAGGCCTGGCTACTTTTTATTATTTTTTTGTAGAGATGTGGTCTCGCCATGTTGCCCAGACTGGTCTTGAACTCCTGGCCTTAAGTGATCCTCTCACCTTGCCCTCCCAAAGCGCTGGGATGACAAATGTGAGTCACTGCTCAATGCCTTTTTTTTTTTTTTTTTTGCATTTTCAACAGCATCTTATAGTTTACAGAATATTATCATATAATATCATCAGTATGATGGTTAATATTGGGTGTCAATTTGATTGGATTGAAGGACGCAAAGTATTGTTCCTGGGTATGTCTGTGAGGATGTTGCCAAAGGAGATTAACATTTGAGTCAGTGGACTGGGAGAAGCAGACCCACCCACAATCCGGGTGGACCCATCTAATCTGCTGCCAGCGTGGCTAGAATAAAAGCTGGCAGAGGAATCATGAAGGGCTAGACTGGCCTGAGTCTTCCGGCCTTCATCTTTCTCTCGTGCTGGATTCTTCCTGCCCTTGAACATTAGACTCCAAGTTCTTCAGCTTTTGGACTCTTGGACTTATACCAGTAGGGCGCCAGGGGCTCTCAGACCTTCAACCACAGACTGAAGGCTGCACTGTTGGCTTCCCTACTTATGAGGTTTTGGGACTCCGGCTGGCTTCCTTGTTCCTCATCTTACAGATGGCCTATTGTGAGACTTCACCTTGTGATCGTGTGAGTCAATACTCCTTAATAAATTCCCCTTTATATATACGTATATCTTATTAGTTCTGTCCTTCTAGAGAACCCTAATAAAATCAGCCAATACCTATCAATCAATATCATTATTATTTCAATTTTACAGGTGAGAAAGCCTGGACTTATAGAAATTAGTTACCTTGCCAAGTGTTGTACACAGTAAGTGAAGGGCCAAGACTGACGGCTGATAGGACAGGGGTGACCAGTGGTGGGGAGGGTAGTGGGAGCAGTCCATCCTGGAATCTGGCATTCAAGGGGCGCATTGTCTGTGGAGGATTTAAAAATAATAAAACCAACTAAAGGCAGTCTGCTTTTTATGGTCACCAGGCGCCAGCAATTCTAAATTTCAGTGATAAAATATTCCTCCTCACTGGACACGAGAAGCTGGCTTCTCCTATTCCCCAGTACAGTAGAAACATTAAGAGAGCAAGTGAGCCTCATTTCCAGACACATGGGAGATTTCTCTCAGGACTGTGCAAAGCATTTCATGTTCCAAGACCCTGCCTTTGTTAAAACATAGATGCATTTTTTTTTCTTTGGGGATGTTCAGAGCCTTCCAGAATTATGCTTTCCCAGGAGAGATAACAACAGTCACATAGCCAAACGTCTAGCAGTGCTTCTGCCTACCGAACAGAATTTCCTGAGAATCTTCTGGAAAAGCAGTGCCCAGTCACTCATTCTGCAAAATGCACTCAGCAGCTCCTCTGAGAGAAGCCGTGGATATAGGGGGATGGCAGGAGAGAAAGGCAGCTCTCCCTGCCAGGCGGGTGAGGGGCAGGACTATAGACCCTTCTACTGAGGGCGAGCTGGTAGAATTTCTCTCAATGCTCAAGACCGAGGAGTTTATCATTCCCTTGACCCCTGGGCTTTAGCTAGAAATGTCCAGAACTCCCCCATCCTAACTGAGAAGGGCAGTTGCTTGCCCCAAACCCACAAAGACTAATTCTTTTTTTTTTTTTAATAGTAAATGCTATTTTTTTCTGTTGGATTTTATAGTATTGCTAAAAAGTAACGGTGAATTTATACATATATGTGGTTATCTTCATATGTAAACAATAGCATATATTTGATGTTGAAATAATCTTTTTATTTGTCCGTCCTCTAAGCTCCCAAGGAAATTGAAAATACCCGAATACTGGGTTAATCCAAGTTTTTACTATTCATGTAATTTTTAAAAATAGGTAAAAGCTAGTTTTATACCAGCCCTCGAAAGTTGTAGAGCAGCTGTATCTGGTAGGAAGAATCCGTACTCAATGAAAATGTCGGTGCAGACAGAACAGGCTTCAGTAGATGTTTATAGATGTTTTCACATGTTACAAATTAAAGTATATTCATCTCCAGTGCACAAAGACTAATTCTGTATTGAAGAGTCCCTCAGCTGCTAGGGTGACCAGCAGCCCAGGCCTGAGGGCTTTCCTGGAACCTGAAACTTTCAATGCTAAAACTAGGACAGTCCCAGGCCAACCAGGATGGTTGGTCATTCTTCTAGTTGCTGAGATTTTGAAATCAATATTTAGTGTTCATTCTACTGTTATTGGAATTGCCTTGAGCCCTGGCTCGGGACGTTGAGGGAGGGACTGGGCAGTGTCTTTATTTTATATATCTACAGAAGCCAGAACAAAGGCAAGCTTACCTATGAAGCCCAGTAAGATCCTGCGGTAGGTTTTCTCAACAGCAGTGTTATGGACATTTGGGGCTAGATAATTCTCTTTTGTGGGGCTCTGTCCTGTGCGTTGAAAGATGTTTAGCAGCATTACTGCCCTCTATGCATTAGATGCCAGTAGCATGTTCCCCACCCAGGTGTGACAATCAAAACACGTCTTTAGGAATTGCAAATATTCACTGGGATGGGGGTAAGGGTGGCAAACTCACCCCTAGTTGGGAAGTACTGCCCAAGAGAGACGTCTCTTACTGCCTCATTAAGCATTTGGAGCTGTTAAACACAAATCAAGGCAACCAGAAAGGGCATCTTGGCTTCAGGCTGGGCATAACCATCCCATTTGCCACATAAAAGTCTAGTGGCTACTCTGCACCCTTTCTGGGTAGAAGCAGAGTTAGTTTGGTCATGGGGGCCCCTGTGGGACAGTGTTGCCCAGACAGGTACCCCTTTAAACCAGCTCTTCCCACAGAGTGTCACAAAGAATGCTTCTTGTCCTATGGGATGCCCCCTGGGGAAATAAAAGAGAGTTTGAAGAATACTATCTGGATATTCACAAAGTACCTTATACAATGAGTGCTCTGAGAAGTGCTGAAATAAAGAAACCTGTTTAAAATTTCCACCCAAGTTTTATGCTGAGGTCAACCTATCCATTAAGATTTATATACAATTGGCTCAATCCCTTGAACTGTAGCATCTTTAGATACTCTGGGGCCCATCCTGAGATTCTGAGAATTTCCAGAGGGTTTATCTTCTCAAGGTCACTTCGACTCTGAGTTCAGCCTCCCTTTAAATTCTCCAGCTCATTCATAGTGCACCTCTTACCACTTCCCCCTTATTTCTGCTCTATGCTGATTGAGTTGTGGATTTCAGTCCCCTCTTCATGAATTTTCCTTCCCAAAAATACCCTATAAGGCATGTCTGTGTTCAGTGGCTTTACTGAGGTTTGTGGTAGTGAAAGCCTTTTACATCTCCATAATTTTAGCCCCTTTTCCCCCTCAAAACTTTCCTCTTATCTCCCTTGCCCCCTCCACCCTACCCCAACTCAACTCTCCTCACTTTATTGTACAAAACAACTTTGCTTTCCTCTCCTTATTTGGTCTTGAACCTACTTTTACATTTTCAAAGCCTCATTAACAGGTAACCACATAATACGTCGTCCAAACTATGACACTTTTAAGATTGAAAGTGGGCCTAGTAATAACTTTGCTGGCCAACAGGTGTACAGCAGGAAAATCTTAGGCAATCAGGTCACATGGGCTGTCTGCCCTGCACTTGCAGGTCATCAACATAGAAAAGACGCAGAAGCACAGAAATGTTAGTTTCCTTTCTACTTTCTCCTCCCCACTCCAGTCCCCGTAAGTGGAATGGAGCCATGGAGTACGTATTTTCTTATCGATGTGAACCATTCCACCCTCCTTAGAAGACAGAAGTAGCTGTCATCTGTTGCAGGTGCAACTGGCTGGGGCTGGCGTCACAGATGGTAAAAGAATTTACCAAGACAGTAGTGAGTTAAAGAAAGCAAGCTCATTACAGGGAGAATATGTTGCAAGGAGGCAATGGGCAGCACGGCAGAGAAGGGGCTGTCTGCAAAGAGGCAGGGACTGGAGGGAAGTTTTCTAGGGTTGTACTGGAGGGGGTATGTGCAGAATGAGGTTGTGCTGTTGGGGCTATGTGTGGAGTGAGGTATTTGGGAACAGGATGTCCTGCCAGTGGGTTGTCAGTGATGAGCTGTCTGGCAGAAAAATTGCTCTCCCCACCTGGGGCCCCCTCCAAGTTGTTGCTCACTTATCTTATTAGGAATCCACATCATCAGCTTTGGTTTTAAATGAAAATTTCTTCTTCTACATTACCCTTTGCTTATTCATCATTTTCCAAACTTATGTGATCATAGGTCTCATTTAATCTCTCTATCCCTACACCCATTAATGTCTCTCATAACTAGAAAAATACCCTTTGGGAAACTTTGAGCTCAGAGCTAGGAAGAACTATCTACATTGCCACTAAAATCTCCTAGGATGATGACAGGATTAAGGTGGAGAGACCGGGAATCACGTTCTGGAGTCCCCTGTGGAACCAGAATGAAATCTGATGCCTCTGACAGACTGAATGGACCCCTCTTGGCCCAGATCACCCAGAAAAACTTTAAGTTTCCCTGGCTTTGATGAGATAGGAGGTTAGATATGCCTCAGTACCCCCTCTTTGTGTTATTACCAGACTTTCTAAGAGATAAACAGAAACCAATATCTGAAAAACAAAGACTGGAAGATCCTTCCATGGACTTCAGCAGATCACCTGACACCGTGGCCAGACTCCACTCCCTTATCACAGGTTCACCATGAAAACTGAGCGGCCTGACAAAGAATTCCGTCCTGTCCTGATAACTGACCACCAACCACTGACTGGCTCTGGCTGGTTTACTGAGATTAAGCACAAAGTGGCTTTGTGCCTTATGTTTCACCTTTTGACATACAGAGCCTAAATTTACTGCATTTTAATACTGTTTCTACAAATATGGGTCATATGTAACATATATGTTTATGCACTACACATGCATTAGGACCCTTCATAAATATTTATAAGATTGTCCTATAACCTACTGAATATGTATGTACAGCCAGTCTCACTAAGCATAAATCTCAGCCTCTCCCTTCTGTCTCTGAAGTGTCTGCTTTCAGTTTCAGCCAGAGGCTCCACTTCCCTGCCTGTAGGTTGTAACTCTTTTTTTTTGAGACAGAGTCTCTCTCTTGTTGCCCAGGCTGGAGTGCAGTGGTGCAATCTCAGCTCACTGCAAACTTGACGTCCCAGGTTCAAGCGATTCTTCTGCCTCAGCCTCCGGAGTAGCTGGGATTACAGGCATGTGCCACCACACCCAGCTTATTTCTGTATTTTTAGTAGAGACAGGGTTTCACCATGTTGGTCAGGCTGGTCTCAAACTCCTGGCCTCAAGTGATCCGTCCGCCTCGGCCTTCCAAAATGCTGGGATTACAGGCGTGAGCCACTGTGCCTGGCCCAGGTTGTAACCCTTTATAAGAAAGAGAGTTCTCCTTTTTTAAAATTTAAAGATATCAATAATTTTAAGTAGACACCCCTATAAATTAGGGGAATGTCTAGTTAATAGATAAGAGATTCGCAGATAAGAGCAACGAGACTGCAGAGAGTGGTAGAACCAGAGGCATACGCCTCTAAAGACCAGGGCTCTGGAGGGATTCTCCATGGAATATGCTGGGAAACACTGCCTGCAGTCACTGATTCCCAAACTCAGGTACTGATTTGAATGAGAATCTTCAGAAATCCCTGGAGGGACCAAAGGTGCTGAACACATCCAGCCAGCGATCTTCCCGGGCCCTGTGTGTCATGGCAGTCTAAACAGTGGTTCCTCTTTTTGGTCCCTTTAGTCCTGGGGCCAAGCCCAGTCCTGGCTAAAGCAGATACAGGCCACTGAAAAACTGAAAAACCGATGATTGGGTTCCCACTGCCTTCTGCGCCCCTTCTGTGCAATGTCCCACTCTCCCCACCCTATCACCAAGACCAGACCAAGATGAGGGTGCAGGGGAAGCAGCTGCCCATTCTGAGACTGAATATGGATGGAGAGGCAGCTTCCCAACATGCTGGTCCTGGTGAGAGGCCTAAGACTTGTTGAGTCCCTGATCCCTGTTGTCCCACAGGCAGGACTTTCCTGTCCCTATCCTCTCACCACCTCTAACTATCATGCCCATTAGACATCTCCCTAGATGGGAGAAGATGAAAGAAGAGGTGGGGTTGCCAGAGCAAGACTGAAGGTAGAAGGCTTCTGGCCTTGTTAGTACTTGACCAACCTCCCCAGGAACCTTTCCCACTGCCACCATTGGTCCAGTCTGTGGGGTCCCTGCCATCCACAGACTGACCTCAACATGGGTTTCTCTCTTCTGCCTGGAGTCCTGCCTTCTAGCTGCCTCCAGAGAAGCATGCAAGTCCTTTTGTTATGAGGGTTTAACCACTGGGCATTCCTGCATTACCACCTTCTCTACTTCCACTCTTGCCCCTACAGTCTGGCTCAATACAGTAGCCAGAAAAATCTTTTTTTTTTTTTTAATTGATCATTCTTGGGTGTTTCTCACAGAGGGGGATTTGGCAGTGTCATAGGACAATAGTGGAGGGAAGGTCAGCAGATAAACAAGTGAACAAAGGTCTCTGGTTTTCCTAGGCAGAAGACCCTGCGGCCTTCCGCAGCATTTGTGTCCCTGGGTACTTGAGACTGGGGAGTGGTGATGACTCTTAATGAGCATGCTGCCTTCAAGCATCTGTTTAACAAAGCACATCTTGCACTGCCCTTAATCCATTTAACTCTGAGTGGACACAGCACATGTTTCAGAGAGCACAGGGTTGGGGGTAAGGTCACAGATCAACAGGATCCCAAGGCAGAAGAACTTCTCTTAGTACAGAACAAAATGAAAAGTCTCCCATGTCTACCTCCTTCTACACAGACACGGCAACCATCCGATTTCTCAATCTTTTCCCCACCTTTCCCCACTCTCTATTCCACAAAGCCGCCATTGTCATCCTGGCCCGTTCTCAATGAGCTGCTGGGCACACCTCCCAGACGGGGCGGTGGCCGGGCAGAGGGGCTCCTCACTTCCCAGCAGGGGCGGCCGGGCAGAGGCACCCCTCACCTCCCGGATGGGGCGGCTGGCCGGGCGGGGGGCTGACCCCCCCACCTCCCCCCGGGACGGGGCGGCCGGCCGGGCAGAGGGGCTCCTCACTTCCCAGTAGGGGCGGCCGGGCAGAGGCGCCCCTCACCTCCCGGACGGGGCAGCTGGCCGGGTGGGGGGCTGACCAACAATCATCCTCATTCCAGTAGGGGCGGCCGGGCAGAGGCGCCCCTCACCTCCCGGACGGGGCGGCTGGTCGGGCGGGGGGCTGACCCCCCCACCTCCCTCCCGGACGGGGCGGCTGGCCGGGCGGGGGGCTGACCCCCCCACCTCCCTCCCGGACGGGGCAGCTGGCTAGGCAGAGGGGCTCCTCACTTCCCAGTAGGGGCGGCCGGGCAGAGGTTCCCCTCACCTCCCGGACGGGGCGGCTGGCCGGGCGGGGGGCTGACCCCCCCCACCTCCCTCCCGGACGGGGTGGCTGCCGGGCAGAGACGCTCCTCACTTCCCAGACGGGGCGGCTGCCGGGCGGAGAGGCTCCTAACTTCTCAGACGGGGCGGCTGCCGGGCGGAGGGTCTCCTCACTTCTCAGACGGGGCGGCCGGGCAGAGACGCTCCTCACCTCCCAGACGGGGTCGCGGCTGGGCAGAGGCGCTCCTCACATCCCAGACGGGGCGGCGGGGCAAAGGCGCTCCCCACATCTCAGACGATGGGCGGCCGGGCAGAGACGCTCCTCACTTCCTAGATGGGATGGCGGCCTGGAAGAGGCGCTCCTCACTTCCCAGATGGGATGGCGGCCGGGCAGAGACGCTCCTCACTTTCCAGACTGGGCAGCCAGGCAGAGGGGCTCCTCACATCCCAGACGATGGGCGGCCAGGCAGAGACGCTCCTCACTTCCCAGACGGGGTGGCGGCCGGGCAGAGGCTGCAATCTCGGCACTTTGGGAGGCCAAGGCAGGCGGCTGGGAGGTGGAGGTTGTAGCCAGCCGAGATCACGCCACTGCACTCCAGCCTGGGCGCCACTGAGCACTGAGTGAACCAGACTCCGTCTGCAATCCCGGCACCTCGGGAGGCCGAGGCTGGCGGATGACTCACGGTTAGGAGCTGGAGACCAGCCCGGCCAACACAGCGAAACCCCGTCTCCACCAAAAAAATAGGAAAACCAGTCAGGCGTGGCGGCGCGCGCCTGCAATTGCAGGCACTCCGCAGGCTGAGGCAGGAGAATCAGGCAGGGAGGTTGCAGTGAGCCGAGATGGCAGCAGTATAGTCCAGCTTTGGCTTGGCGTGAGAGGGAGACGGTGGAAAGAGAGGGAGAGGGAGACCATGGGGAGAGGGAGAGGGAGAGG